>NW_017852930.1:0-300000 GCF_000001405.40 Homo sapiens
AAGCTTTTATGAAAACCTGATACAAGAATAAGGGAAAGGAGATATGCTATACTTAGGGTTTATTAAGGATATTCTTACATATTTGTTGTCTTTTAAGCATTTATAAATATACATATACACCCTATATTCTAAAAATCTAAATTCAACATTTATTTTTGTGATAGAATCAGATGCTAAACTTCTTGAATTTGTATTAAGGAGTTTTGAAATATTTTAAGTTTCTCCAGAATCACTTTGAGAGGCTTAGAGAAGTCAGTGTCTGTATTATTATCTTCCATATTGTATTGTTTAATTCAGACTGCATCATTGGAGATCAAGGCAGAGTTCATTAAGAAACAAAAGCAAGAAAGAACAGGTATATGGGTAGAGCAACACTTTTCTTTTAGAAGTCCTTCCAAAGCCTTGAAATGGAATGTCAGTAGGCTAGCATGTCAGAGTTTGGTCCTCAGTTGACTGTAGTGAAAATGTCAAGGCCCACATCTGCTGCTTCCGGCTCCATCTGGATGCTTTCTGCTCTTTGCAAGTTGATGGCTTATCTTGGGTCACCACACCAATGCTTGCGATGTTAGGATGACGCAGGGTGCATGTCTCGGCACTTCCTCAGGAGCACAGGATCCGCAGACATGTTTCTGCCAACTAAGGGGACGCTGCTGGCATACACAGCAGTGTTGCCATTTCCAACTATGTATGCTGTTATCTAGGCTGAAATTTGGGTGAAATTCTTACCCCAGTGTTGCCACATTTTCTTGGTTTTTTAGCAGAAATACAGTGGTAGAGAATATATTATTTCAAGGCCAGGCACAGTGGCTCACGCCTGTAATCCCAGCACTTTGGGAGGCTGAGGCAGGTAGATCACTTCAAGGTCAGGAGTTCGAGACCAGCCTGGCCAACATGGTGAAACCCCATCTCTAATAAAAATACAAAAAAATAAATAAATACGGGTTCTAGATCCCTGAGGAATTGCTACACTGTCCTCCAAAATGGTTGAACCAATCTACATTCCCACCAACAGTGCAAAAGCATTCCTATTTCTCCACAACCTCACCAGCATCTATCGTTGCTTGACTTTTTAATAATTGCCATTCTGACTGGCGTGAGATGGTTTCTCATTATGGTTTTGATTTGCATTTCTCTAATGATCAGTAATGATCTTTTTTTCATTTTTTTTTTGGCTGCATAAATATCTTCTTTTGATTCTTTTGAGAAGTGTCCGTTCATATCCTTTGCCCACTTTTTAATGGCAGAAATACCATTTGACCCAGAAAACCCATTACTGGGTATATACCCAAAGGAATATAAATCATTCTGCTATAAAGACACATGCACACATATGTTTATTGCAGCACTATTTACAATAACAAAGACATGGAACCAACCCAAATGCCCATCAGTGATAGACTGGATAAAGAAAACGTGGTACATATATACCATGGAGTACTATGCAGCCATAAAAAAGAATGAGATAATGTCCTTTGCAGGACATGGATGAAGCTGGAAGCCATCATTCTCAGCAGACTAACACAGGAGTAGAAAACTAAACACCGAATGTTCTCACTCATAAGTGGGAGTTGAACAATAAGAACACATGGACACAGGGAGGGGAACATCACACACCGGGGCCTGTCAGGGGGTGGGGAGTGAAGGTAGGGAGAGTATTAGGACAGATACCTAATGCATGCGGGGCTTAAAACCAGACAGGTTGATAGGTATAGCAAACCTCCATGGCACATGTATACCTGTGTAACAAACCTGCATGTTCTCCACATGTATCCCTGATTTAAAGTAAAATTTTAAAAAAAGGAAAAAAAAATTAGCTGGGTGTGGTAGCACATGCCTGTAATCCCAGCTACTTGGGAGGGTGAGGTGGGAGAGTCGCCTGAATCCAGGAGGTGGAGGCTGCAGTGAGCTGAGATTGCACCACTGCACTCCAGCCTGGGTGACAGAGCGAGACTCCATCTTGGGGGGGAAAAAGAAAGTATTATTTCAAATAATTTTACAAATGAAATCATTACTACATAATTGTCCATCAAAACCTCTTCATTTAGGGCCGGGCTCGGTGGCTCACGCCTGTAATCCCAGCACTTTGGGAGGCCGACGCAGGCAGATCTCGAGGTCAGGAGATCAAGACCATCCTGGCTAACACGTTGAAACCCCGTCTCTACTAAAAATACAAATAAATTAGCCGGGCGTGGTGGCAGACGCCTGTAGTCCCAGCCACCCAGGAGGCTGAGGCAGGAGAATGGTGTGAACCCGGGAGGTGGAGCTTGTAGTGAGCCGAGATCGCGCCACTGCATTCCAGTCTGGGCAACAGAGTGAGACTCCGTCTCAAAAAAAAAAAAAACCTCTTGATTTAGAAACCGAGACAGCTTGTTCCCTTAGGATTTCACTTTTCAGGTGAATATGTGTACTTTGGGGTTGGATCAATTTTAGGGATATGAAAGGTAACAAGATTGTTGTCAATTAATTTGCATTTTCACCGTCTGTTTTTGTTATTGATTCCAATAGGGAGATTCGGCTGATTCTTTTTTCATTGTAGAATCTGGAGAAGTGAAAATTACTATGAAAAGAAAGGTAAGCATTCTAAGTCCTCAGAACCCACATACTGTTAGCAAGGAACACAACAGATCTACTTTTTGATGTTTAGACTGAGGTTAATTTTATTTTTCATAAGCTGAGGAAAAGCTCATCTTTTTAATTGCCTTGTCAGGGTAAATCAGAAGTGGAAGAGAATGGTGCAGTAGAAATCGCTCGATGCTCGCGGGGACAGTACTTTGGAGAGCTTGCCCTGGTAACTAACAAACCTCGAGCAGCTTCTGCCCACGCCATTGGGACTGTCAAATGTTTAGGTAGGGATTGCAACAGTGGGCGTGCTTCTGCTGGTTGAACTTATGTCTGCATTTTATGTATTCATGTTGAGTGAATCATTTTATTGGGTTCACAGGTTTTGTGGTCCCCACAAAAGGTAACAAGATTAGGACTCATTGCCTTATAAAATCAATTTGTGGAAGCCATTTTTTCTTCGAAATTTTTACATCCAGATACATTTTGCTCTTCTTGTGTATATATGAAATAACATCCCATATTAGTCATTAAAATAAGAGTTCCAAGTACCACGTTTTATATGGAATCTCTCAAATAAGCAACATGTGCTATGTTCCTCAAAAGAGAAGGCTAAAGTACTATTTTTATAAAGTCCGTTATTAAGATCTGCGGGGAATGCTGAGATGTTGTGAGAATCCTTACTCATTACAGTATTGGGACACAAAGGTTCAGGTTTGTCAAAGCACAGTCAAATGTTCTTTGCTGTTCAGTTGTTATTACTATTTTACCAGAGTAGCTTGGCAGAAATGTCATCTTCAGGTGCAGGCATCTGTATATATCTGAGATTATATATCTGAGAAATCACTTACTTTGATAAGAAAATACAGTTTAGAAGGTGGCAATATGGAGGGTATTTTAAGAAAATTGATCTCACAGTTATTACCCTCTCTGTGCTTTTCATCCATAATTCAATAGCATAAACTTAATGTTTTTAAGATTTGCAAGGATCCTTAGAATTAACTTCTTAGAGAAGTCATTCTTTAAAAGGGTTTAAATAAGTATAATATTAATCAAGTGTTAAATTTGGATGGAAGAGAAGACGATTAGAAACTGGCAGGTAATTTCCCTAAGTAGGGCTATTAGAAAGAGTAAAGGTGAGTGAGTGAAAGTCTATTAGAAATAGTAAAGGTGAGTGAGTGAAAGTCTATTACAGTAAAGGTGAGTGAGTGAAAGTCTATTAGAAAGAGTAAAGGTGAGTGAGTGAAAGTCTGTTAATTTTTTTTCAATAATAGATTATTATACTCACATCAAAGAAAACCTGAGAAATACAGAAAATGTAGAAAAAACATAACACCGCCACTCAGTGATTTCTGCTATTATAATTCCTTCTTGTCCTTTTTATTTGTGTGGGCTTCCAGTTGTTAAACAGTTTTCCAAACAACTTTTAAAGTTCATTATCGCTTAGGAATGTTCTTATTTTATTACACCAAATTTTAAAATTCTTTTAGGTAAATATATACACGATAAATTAATCATTCCTTAGTGGTAAATACTTCGAAGGTTTTGGCTCCAACTTTTTTGTGGGGAGCAATTTTTTGTGCATAGAAGACTTTTCTGTATTATAGGAGTTTTCCTTAGAAATGGTTTTCAGGAGTGGGTTTTTAAAAAATTAACTTTTGACACATATTGCCAGATTACTTGTATTTGTACACTACTAGCAGTGCCATAATGCCCATTCACCCTATTCTTGTAAACATTGCCTTTTTTATCTTTTTATCTTTAGTGTAAAAGGCAAAGAAGATCTATTTTAATTTGTACTTTTATGTATAGAGTATGATCATATTTTCTATTTATATATTATAAATCCAGTTTTAAAATCCAGGAGACAGGCAAGCAAAGTGATTTCTAGCATGTACTTATAGAAGTAAACAAAAGCATTATGTCAGCTGCCATTTTTGGATTGCATAGACATAGTATGGCAGCAAAACTTACAAAAGGTTAACACTTGGCCTTCACAACATGGCATTTTAAACCCTGAGAAGGGAACACAGGATAGAAAACACTCTTGTGCCACCCTTGAGGAGTTCACATTGCTAAGGTGGAGACAGCACATTTATTTTTTAAAATTCTAAGGTCTTTCCATGATAGTCCCTCATTCTTTTCTCAGCTTGGACCAGGAACCTCCCACCAACTTAGCATTGCTCATCATATTGCCGAGGGACTGCAGAGTGTGGTCCAAGAGCGTGGCCCTGGCTGCTTCCTTTTTCAAGTGGAACATTTTTATCATTATGCTTTTTCTTGTATTTTATAGTATTTACCTAAAATATCATTGCACTATTGATATATATGGAGTCGGTATTGTAAATGACTTAGAAATTCTGCAGATTTGCAAAGAATGTTATTTAAAAAAAAATCTTCTCTTTTCTCAGCAATGGATGTGCAAGCATTTGAAAGGCTTCTGGGACCTTGCATGGAAATTATGAAAAGGAACATCGCTACCTATGAAGAACAGTTAGTTGCCCTGTTTGGAACGAACATGGATATTGTTGAACCCACTGCATGAAGCAAAAGTATGGAGCAAGACCTGTAGTGACAAAATTACACAGTAGTGGTTAGTCCACTGAGAATGTGTTTGTGTAGATGCCAAGCATTTTCTGTGATTTCAGGTTTTTTCCTTTTTTTACATTTACAACGTATCAATAAACAGTAGTGATTTAATAGTCAATAGGCTTTAACATCACTTTCTAAAGAGTAGTTCATAAAAAAATCAACATACTGATAAAATGACTTTGTACTCCACAAAATTATGACTGAAAGGTTTATTAAAATGATTGTAATATATAGAAAGTATCTGTGTTTAAGAAGATAATTAAAGGATGTTATCATAGGCTATATGTGTTTTACTTATTCAGACTGATAATCATATTAGTGACTATCCCCATGTAAGAGGGCACTTGGCAATTAAACATGCTACACAGCATGGCATCACTTTTTTTTATAACTCATTAAACACAGTAAAATTTTAATCATTTTTGTTTTAAAGTTTTCTAGCTTGATAAGTTATGTGCTGGCCTTGGCCTATTGGTGAAATGGTATAAAATATCATATGCAGTTTTAAAACTTTTTATATTTTTGCAATAAAGTACATTTTGACTTTGTTGGCATAATGTCAGTAACATACATATTCCAGTGGTTTTATGGACAGGCAATTTAGTCATTATGATAATAAGGAAAACAGTGTTTTAGATGAGAGATCATTAATGCATTTTTCCCTCATCAAGCATATATCTGCTTTTTTTTATTTTGCAATTCTCTGTATTCTATGTCTTTAAAAATTTGATCTTGACATTTAATGTCACAAAGTTTTGTTTTTTTAAAAAGTGATTTAAACTTAAGATCCGACATTTTTTGTATTCTTTAAGATTTTACACCTAAAAAATCTCTCCTATCCCAAAAATAATGTGGGATCCTTATCAGCATGCCCACAGTTTATTTCTTTGTTCTTCACTAGGCCTGCATAATACAGTCCTATGTAGACATCTGTTCCCTTGGGTTTCCGTTCTTTCTTAGGATGGTTGCCAACCCACAATCTCATTGATCAGCAGCCAATATGGGTTTGTTTGGTTTTTTTAATTCTTAAAAACATCCTCTAGAGGAATAGAAACAAATTTTTATGAGCATAACCCTATATAAAGACAAAATGAATTTCTGACCTTACCATATATACCATTAGGCCTTGCCATTGCTTTAATGTAGACTCATAGTTGAAATTAGTGCAGAAAGAACTCAGATGTACTAGATTTTCATTGTTCATTGATATGCTCAGTATGCTGCCACATAAGATGAATTTAATTATATTCAACCAAAGCAATATACTCTTACATGATTTCTAGGCCCCATGACCCAGTGTCTAGAGACATTAATTCTAACCAGTTGTTTGCTTTTAAATGAGTGATTTCATTTTGGGAAACAGGTTTCAAATGAATATATATACATGGGTAAAATTACTCTGTGCTAGTGTAGTCTTACTAGAGAATGTTTATGGTCCCACTTGTATATGAAAATGTGGTTAGAATGTTAATTGGATAATGTATATATAAGAAGTTAAAGTATGTAAAGTATAACTTCAGCCACATTTTTAGAACACTGTTTAACATTTTTGCAAAACCTTCTTGTAGGAAAAGAGAGCTCTCTACATGAAGATGACTTGTTTTATATTTCAGATTTTATTTTAAAAGCCATGTCTGTTAAACAAGAAAAAACACAAAAGAACTCCAGATTCCTGGTTCATCATTCTGTATTCTTACTCACTTTTTCAAGTTATCTATTTTGTTGCATAAACTAATTGTTAACTATTCATGGAACAGCAAACGCCTGTTTAATAAAGAACTTTGACCAAGGCTATAAATGCCACGTACATTATTTTCAGTATTGTTGGTTATATTTAAATTTTCCTTACAATAAAGCACACTTTTATAATAAAATACATGAATTATTGTTTTTCATACTTTTTTGCTTGTTTCTTTAAAGTTTTCTGACGTGCATAATGCATAATTCATTGAAAAGCATGATAGCAATGTGGCATGTGGAAGCGAACCCCCAGGGCATAACATAGTAAGAAAGTATGGTTCTGTATGGCAATAGGTTTTTAAAATTATTAGCTATTCATCATGTGTGGGAGAAATAATTGTGGTGTGTTGCAGATTTATTTGGCCATTTAGAATAACCAAATCAATCTGGCTAACTAGGAATTTATGTGTAAAATTATCTGATTAAAACAGCTCAAGTTTGACTTGTGGATGTCATTATTTAATTATTAATCAACACTCCTTACTATGTGAGAATTCTCTGTTGACCATTCATTCAAGGACAGAGCCTCTCGTGTATCATGCGTGGCTAAGGAAAGGGGTGAGGACTTTTTCCCCAAGAGTGACGGTGCTTTCCCTTATTTTAAATAAAGGTGTGTGTGTGTGTGTGTGTGTGTGTGTATGTATGTGTGTGTGTATTGTTTTCTACATATCCATATGTACTAGGGCTTAGTGCAGATATTTTAACATACACGTTACCTGTGACACAACTTAGGTGAATGTATATGTGTTACCATTAGGATTAGTATTATAAACTCTGGCTAAATGCCATTTAAAATGCTTTAAAAGGCCGGCACCATGGCTCATGCCTGTAATCCCAGGACTTTGGGAGGCTGAGGCAGGAGGATCACGAGGTCAAGAGATCGAGACCATCCTGGCCAATATAGTGAAACCCCGTCTCTATTAAAAATACAAAAATTAGCTGGGCGTGGTGGCATGTGCCTGTAGTCCCAGCTACTCAGGAGGCTGACGCAGGAGAATCGCTTGAACCTGGGAGGCAGAAGTTGGAGTGAGCCGAGATTGTGCCACTGCACTCCAGCCTGGTGACAGAGCGAGACTCCGTCCATAAAACAAACAAGCTTAAAAATTCTTCAAGTGAAACGGCATGAAGCAAGAGACTTCGGATTTTATTGAAATGTAAAATTTAAAAACGCTGTGTTCTTTCCCTTCCCAAAGCATCTTTAAAGATACTGATAGAATTTTTCCTCTCAAAAAACGTTATAAAGGATGAGATGACCTTTGCCATTCTTAAGGAAAATTAATACTGTGTAGGCCTAGAGAGGTGAGTCATACATCTGGATTAAGGCAGAGCTTTGTTAAATTGCTGGACGGGATTCTTAAAAAAAAAAAAATTTACTACCTAAGAGAAATATAGTTTTTAAGGAATGCTGGCTTCTAAAATTTAGTGTTTGGTATAGCCTGATGCCAAGTATCAGAAAGAATTTTGACAAAAATGAAGAATTGGAATGAGTTGAGACAACCTTACCTGTTCTAGAATACTTTTAAAGGCAGCAAAACTGGTTGAATAGACTACAGAGTTGTTCATCTTCACAGGTATAAAAACCCTTTAAAAGTGTAATGAATTATGGAAATATAAGCAGTAAAGTATACCAGTTATTTGCAGAAGACTTGTGTCAATAACTATGAGACCTTAAATCAGTTCAATTTGTATACCTAAGGACAATCAGTGACTTCACTAAAGTCATTTACTTTGTGAGTCAATGGCAGAACTTATGGAAAATTGAGATATATTGATTCTTCATCCAATTCATGGCCTCATATATTTTCCCAAATAATGTTAATGAGCCTGGCATATAAATTGGTATATAGTTTCCAATGCAGAGAATAAGATTATTTTGAGAGGAAAACTTTTGATGTGACCAACAGATCTGGGTCTTTCTTTACCTTTTTATGCTTCAAATTTATAAATCTAAAATTGCCTAGAAAATCCTGAAGAAGTATGTATCACATATATAGGAAAATGTGGTGATACATGATAGGGAAGTAATGTCTACACCACAAAAATGAATGCTACCTACCAAGGAGGTGGTTTTCACAGATTTTGATGTAACCATAGCCTGAGTCTCATCATTTTTCCAAATATAAAAAATGCTACTACAAAATGTATATATATTAAATCATGTTTTATCAGCACCAATTATAACTGATTCATTATAGCATATAAATGCATTTTTTACTGTCACTGGAAAACAGAAAATGACCTTTTTTTCAGGCACAAGGGAAAGTTTTCTGTAGCTTTTGACTGTAACAACCCAGACATGAAACCTTAAATATTTTCTATTTAACTTGAAAAGAAAGGTTACAAAGTAGACCTTCGAATGAGTTTATGAACAGGAAATATGACCAGTTAAAATCTTAGATAAAGTTGCTATTGATGACTGGTTTTCCATCTTGGTTCTAATCAGAAACCTTCCTAGATCTTGCTGAGGAACAAGAGAATAAACTCTGCATCCCTGAAACTTCATCACCTCTCTTAGGCCAAGGGCTGACATTTAATACAAGTGTACTTCCTTTACATAATGACTATATTCTTGAGGTATATACAAATGACATTTTTTAAAAGCCAAGCAATATTTTAAGAAAGGTGCACACTATAAAGACATCTTTGGTAAATCTATTTTCTCATAATTGCACTTTAAAGCTGAACAATTAAATATCCTCAACATTTTTATTACTTATATTCTGTATAACTTGAAGGAGTTGAAGTGTTAATTAGGTTGGTGCAAGAGTAATTGTGGTTTTTGCCATTTTTTAAATGGTAAAAATGGTAAAAATCACAATTACTTTTGCAGCAACCCAATACTTTGTTTGCCTTTGAGTGACTGACACTGTGAGGGAAACAAAAATGAATAATAGTGCTTATCATATAAACATAGCTGAAAGATGAGACGTTCTCAAATAATAACAATGATTACATAGAGGAAGTGACAGTTAAAGTGCATGCAAGTTATTTAACAAAGTCAAATATTCAGACCAGCATCCTATATATAGTGCTACACTACGCTGTATATGAGAAAATTCATGCTGCTTGTCTCCCCTTTTTATTCATTTGTTCCACAGGTAGGTATTTTTTTAATAGCTTATTATGGACCAGACAAAAAAAAGCGCATGAGATGGTGACTGATAAGGAGAGAATGTAAATGTGGAGGGGGGACAAATGTAAGCAACAATATTCAGTTTAGCACAGTGTGATAAAAGCGATGTGTGTACTATTCCTACTTTTTTTTTTTTGAGACAGAGTCTGGCTCTGTCACCCAGGCTGGAGTGCAATGGTGTGATCTCGGTTCACTGAAACCTCTGCCTCCTGGGTTCAAACGTTTCTCCTGCCTCAGCCTCCCGAGTAGCTGGGAATACAGGTGCGTGCCACCACACCCAGCTAATTTTTGTATTTTTAGTAGAGATGGGGTTTCACCATTTCGGCCAGGATGGTTTTGATCTCTTGACCTTGTGATCTGCCCACCTCAGCCTCCCAAAGTTCTGGGATTACAGGCGTGAGCCACCGTGCCCCGCCCTATTCCTACAATTTTAATTGCTCTTTATCTGACTTAATTGCACTTAAAATGAGGTACTTTTTGCTAGCAACTAAACATAGAGAAGGTCCTAGGATACCAAATAGACGGGAGTAGAAAATACTATGTGAGAGTTTGTGTTAAATAGTTCAGATAACAGTAATGATCTCTAGAAAACTTGCAGGACATGAGAATAGTCATTTGAGCTTGATTTTAAACATCGAGAGTGAGATGAAATAGAATTGTTGCCTTCTCTAAATACATTTTCATTTATACCAAATTAGACTTGACAAAAACTTTTTGGGAAAAATTGGGATAAAAAAATGAGTACTCCTCTCTATGTCCTGAGGATACCCAGGTTTATTTCTCCAGACTTGGACTTCCTAAATGCCAGATGAATATATTCAGCTGCCCAAGGACCTCTGGACTCAAATTTCTTCCTGCACAGCATGCTTATCACCCGAGGTTGAACCTATCCTTTCCCTTCCTCCCAGTCCCCAAATCTGCTATCCTCTCCAGCATTCCCTCAGTCAATAACATCAACATAACCACCCTTCCCCAACATACTGCAATTACCCAAGCTGGAGACACAATCATTTTGATTCTTCCCTTTTACGTTGATTTTTCTTCCTAATGTGGTTATAGTGTTAAGACATTAGCTTATCAGCCACTGAAGAAAGGTCTTGCTTTCTGGTCATCGGAGCAAAATCTAAACTTCAGTTGCATCAAGAACTACAGGAACAGGAGACAGATGACTCACTTCTACAATGGCCATCATTAGCTCCTGTGGATTTCATTACAACTTGACTGAATTACCTGAGTACTTTGAACTAATTAGAAAATTAACTCATTTGAAAGGATAGTAAGGTATATGGAAGGATATTTGTTGGAGTTTAAACATTCAAGATGCTGTCTGAAAACTTTGAGAAGTACTTAGACCATACATGTGTTCAATTTCTCCATTTAGTACTTGTTCATGTGATTTCATTTGTTTACCTTTTGACAATTCAAAGTGATTATTTTCAATATCAGGCAATGCATGTACTTGAACTTCTCTGTAGTTAAGCAAAGCAGTCATTGGTGTGTCAAATATGGTGGAATCAGGGAAACACATTATTTCACTCCTAAATAGGATTTACCGGTTTTTTGTTTTTCTTCTGTTCGTTTTTTACTATCTCTAACAAATTAGAACTTGATATTTAAGATAACAGAGGTAACTTTACAAACCGCTGGAAAGACATTTTGATTTGACAATTTCTTGACATTTTTTTGCATACATTTTATGTGTGTATATGTGTGTATAGATATGGTGACTGTACCAATCAAGAAGAGGTGTTATTTAAAGTAACTGATTTTTTAACTTCAATTTTATCATGGAAACATCTGAAAGATAGTTAAAAACTGTAGTTATATCTGTTTTAGTCTGAGAGTATAATTAGCACATGTAAAAATTTCCAAGGAGATCTTACTAGTTTTGTACTTTGATCTTTGTTCTGGCTTATAAGTTGGCTAGTTTTATTGGTCACTCAATTAATGATGATGTCTCTGGTAAATACACATAAGCTACTAATGTGGTCATTTAGCCCCCCACGGAAGTCAGAAGATTGGACTAAGTGTCCACTTAAAGGTGTAGCGAATTCTAATACTAGTATTTAATCAGTTGTGACTAAACTATCTAAATTTAACTCATATTAAAGACTTGGATAAAAATGAGAAAAAGTGTGCAAAAAATGTTTTCTATCTTTTTATTCTCAATAATTGGCACAGTGGTCAAAAAATGGAACTAAACGTTTCTGAATGAATGGAAAAGGCTTTATGGAGCTATTAAAGGATAAATTATTATTTGTAACATATTGTACAATATCTGGATCTAAAGTTGAATTTTTTTTCCCCATTTCCGGTGTCCCCCGATAAAAAAAATCACCACTAAGGCATTTGGTAAAAACTTTAAAATAGTTTAACTTTTAAAAACAAGGTTTAGCTGAAAGCAGATCTCACAGTTTGTGTACTGGAGAGGGGTAAAGCAGTATGTCAATCTCTTGCCAGCTCTTTTTTTTTTTTTTTTTTAAGAGAAAAGTTTTTTAGTTTTCTAGGAGGAGTTAGACATAAATATCTCAAAACAATTTTAAATAATTAGGTGAACTTCACAGATTTTTCTTTTTTGTCAAGAAATTACATGTTGGAGTAGAGTTTATATTTTCTATTCTAGTACACGATGACCCTCCATTGTAAAAAAAAAAAAAAAAAAAAAAAGCATACACAAAGTAGCAGAGACATTCATTTCTTTGAGTCACTAATAATTTCTGAAAGATGATAAATTCAAATCCTGTCCTTTTTCCTCAGGGAAAAAATTAAGCATTCTGTTGGCTCTCCTCTGAATTATTTTAATAAAAAATAGAATGCTTTATTACTATTTGTGAACATAGAAAGTAAGTATTTGATTACACGGGAGGACTACTTTATAATTTCACTTCACGGATTCAAATGGGGAATTCTCAAGAATTTTAAACTCGATTTCAACATGTGGGGGCTTATTTTGGATTTCTTGATTTGTTACGCGGCTTTCAGGTATATTTAAAAATCCAAGAAATGCAGGAGGTTTTAAAGAAATAACTAGCTGTGTGATTTCTGGCTCTGTCCAAAGGTTTGCTTTTACAGATTTCTTACTAATGTAGGTTTTCCTCATCTTAATTCTAAGCATATATTTAGTGATCTAAAGTTAGAAAATCTAAAGCACAATTTAAATGATTAAACACTAAAGGTTCAAAGGGGGGAAAAAGCTTAATCATGCCTTTGTAATGTGAATGGTAAAGACACCAATTATTGACTAGATGCAGCCGACTGTGAATGGACAGCCATGTTTAAAGAGAAGTTAACTATAAAGCAGGGAAGCGTCTCTGGTGAGTCAGAGAATTCGTAACTTGAGGAACTCCTAGTGGAAATGAAGTGGAAAGACAGTTTCTTTCATCAATGAGAAAACGTCTAGAAGGAAAAGAGGGTTAATAAAACTCACCAGAGAAACTTACTGATAATGATTCACAAATTAAATCAGTTTACGTCATACATTACACCCTTTGTATTACGTTAACCAACGAGCATACTAATCAGTATGGAAAATGCCGCTTTAACTTGCCTCAATTTCGTAATCGCCCGCCCCCGCCCCCGCTTTGTAAATTCTCTAGACTCCAGCTTCTCGCTTGCTCACAGTCCATCCCCCAGCCTCACTCTTCCTGGCACTTAGGTGGCGGCTCAACAAACTTAGGTGAACTGAACAGAGCTGACAAGGCAATCTCAAGTTGCTGTCCTGGGAGTGGTGAGGCAAGGCACAAGAGAAAGGACTTCTAGTTCTTCCCACTGCCAGTGCAGCCCCCAGCATCACTTTCGACCCCTTCGTGCCTGGGGCCGTGATTTGTGGGTGATCAAGTCCCTCGCTAGCCTGCAGTACTTCCGCTGGTGCAGTCATCTCCTTCCCCTCGCACTAAAACAATACCCTGGCCTCCTGCCAAACTCTTGAGCAGCGAGCAACTCTGGCTGTTTATGGCCCGGATTGGGTGCTGCAAGAGGCTTGGGCCGCTCTAAGTGTTAGCAGAGGCCCGGAGGAAAAGAAGAGGCCCAAGCTTTAAAACACTCCCTTCCTCCGCCCCCTCCCTTTTGTCCCAGACACCAAAACAAACGAGCTGATACACGTGTCCCTATGACTCTTGTTTACTATCAAGACTGCGCTGTGCGAGCGCCTCTGGGATACGTAGTCCAGCTCTTCCCCGGCCAGCAGTCTCCCACAGCCAAGGACCAAGGCTTGAGACTACGAACCCACAATCCATTTCGGGGACAAAGTTTGGCTTGGGTCCCCGGACTCTCGGCAATAGTCCAATCCGAAGCACTTACTCTTGTGATTGACATGCCATCTTCTCCAGTAAACACAACACAAAAGTCAATACATGCCCGCCCCCCGAGACGGACCACGGTACCACCCAATGGGAAAGGGGAAGAACCGAATGGCAGTTCTGCAGTCCAATAAGAGGGCGAAAGAGCTGGGCGGGGCTCAACCCCCAGGGGGTTGAGGGGAGGGGGAAGACGAAGCTTGAAAGACTTGGTAATGGCGACGGGTTTGGTAAGTAGGAAAGTTTCGGTTGAGGAGTAAGAGCTGCCGCGGGAGCAGTAACCCGCGCGGGGGAGGCCGACGTCGGTCGGAGAGGGGGTACGAGAGCTGCTGGTGGTGTTGTCGTGGCCGGAGCGGCCCGCGCCTGGGCTGCCGGCACTTCGCGGCAGGTTTGTTGTCTTTCAGTTAGGGAAGAGGTGGGGGTGGGGAAGGGAGGGGCAGGAGCGCGGGGGATTGGGCAGACTGGAGGGCTCGGGTCCTCGTTCCTTCTTCTCGGAGGGTTGCCCTTGGGGTGGGGGCAGTTAACCGTTCGATTGGTGCCCGCGGCGAGCCCACCGGAGCAGCGTCTCCCGCGAGCTCACCTGGGCTTCGGGGCGGCGGCGCTAGGGGGTCTCGGGCGGGGGCCGGGAGGAGGCAGGGGGAGGGCGAAGTTCCGGGCCAGGTCGCGCGGTGGGTGGCCGGGCCGGGTGTGGAGATGGGGCGGGCCAGGGCGGGGGAAGGGGCCGACGCAGCGCCGGGGCTGCCCAGGAAAGTTTGACTTCAACTCCCCGTTTGTGGGCGGAGGGTCGGAGCTTGGCCAGGGGTGGGGGGCTGGCCGGAGGTGGGGGACCCCAGTGAGGCGCCGCCTCCTTCTGGACTGAGGGGGATTCTGGCTGAGCTGAGGAGCTCGCGGAGCCGCTGGGCCCCGGGGCTCATTGTTACGCAGTTCGAATGAATGGGCTCCCAGGCGCCTGCGCGCTGGGGCTGAGCCGAGGGGAAAAACAAGCCCGGAGTCCGGGCTGCGGTCACATGATGGGGGGAAGGGAGGGGAACGCGATGAATGGCGAAAGAGGGTGGGGGATGGACTTGGCGTGAACCGGGAGGCACCGCTCTGTGTGACCCAAAGAGGAGGCTTGGCAGGCGATTCCAGTCTCCGCCTTTCAACCTATGCTGCCACCGCAGGCCGATTGAAACAAAACAAAACAAACCAGGCGAAGTGGACAGCCAGGTTTTTGTAGCTTTAAATGCTGCGTGCTGTCTAGGGTGTTTCACTCTCCGCTGTGCACTCTACACTCGAGTTCATTCTTAGGGAGTTTTCAGCTACAGTCGTTTTTAGAAGGAGCACTGACAGCGAGGTAATACTCAAGTTTTCTGTTTGTTTTGTTTTTGGCTCATGGTGCCACTGATGCCAGGACGAGAGGAGGCTTAGAAAAGGAGTTATACATACTGGGAAGCGATGGAGTCCTACTAACAGCTCGGATGGAGGCTTTAGCTTTATTAATACTTCCCTCTGAATAGCCGTAAGCACTCCTAATAGTGGTTTTGAAATTAAAGGTACTTTTTGAGAATTAGAATAATTTTAACATTGGAAATACTTTTCTGGTCATTTAACAGTGATCTAAATCTGCAATGTATGTCTTGTACTTTTGGTTTTTTTTTGCTATTTTCCTTTATCTTGCAAATGAGTGTGGTAGAGTCGGTCATCTGTTCAGTTGCCTTGGTTAAACTCAGTTCTTGCAAGGTAGACAGTAGTTGACAAAATTTCAAGGAAATTTGAATTATATTGAGAATTAAATCCACTCCCTAAAGTTTTTGGGTTATGTTATACTTTTGAGGAGCCGTTTAACCACTTTAAAGCAAAATATTGTTTGTGCTTTCTCTACTGATAAATTATAGAATGAAGTTTTGATTTCACTTTCTAGTTTCATCTTAGTTTTGTAAACCTACTTATCTTTTCTGTCTCGAAAACCCTTCCTCTTTCTTAACTTCTCAAACTCCTAACTACATACCCTAGTTAAAAGGGTACCTTCTCCCAGGATTGCCCACCTACATGTCTCCGCTATCCTGTGTGCTTCACAGGGCATACCTCTCAGACGTCAAACATGATACTGTCACTGTAAGAGTTGTTTTCTTCACTATATACATATGTATATGTATAAAATATATAACATATACATGTATATATATAAAATATATAACATACATGTATATATATAAAATATATAACATATACATGTATATATATAAAATATATAACATATACATGTATAAATATATATATATATATATATATATATATTTTTTTTTTTTTTTGAGAGGGAGTCTCGCTCTGTCGCCAGGCTGGAGTGCAGGGGTGCGATCTCGGCTCACTGCAACCTCCACCTTCTGGGTTCAAGCGATTCTCTTGCCTCAGCCTCCTGAGTAGCTGGGACTACAGGTGAGCGCCACCACTCTCAACTAATTTTTTTGTATTTTTAATAGAAACGGGGTTTCACCATTTTGAGCAGGATGGTCTCAATCTCCTGACCTCGTGATCTGCCCGCCTCGGCCTCCCAAAGTGCTGGGATTACAGGTGTGAGCCACCGTGCCCGGCCCACTATATTTTAACTTCTTTGGATTCTTTCCTCACTAATCGAAGTGGCCAGTGAAGAAGGCATATGGCACGATGGCATGGACTTATGAAACTGCTCTGTGCTGAGGGTTCTTCAGGGTGAATTGCAAGCTGGTGTTTTGTATATGTGTTTGAAATAAAAATACTGGTACTCCCCTTTCCACCCCACGCATACATTATCCATTAGAAGTTACTACTGTCCCAGCACGGTGTCTCACGCCTGTCCCAGCGCTTTGAGAGGCTGAGGCGGGTGGATCACCTGAGGTCAGGGGTTCAAGACCAGCCTCGCCAACGTCGTGAAATTGTCTATTAAAAATACAACAGTTAGCTGGGCATGGTGGCGCACACCTGTAGTCCCAGCTGCTTGGGAGGCTGAGGCAAGGGAATCGCTTGAACCCGGGAGGCAGAGATTGCAGTGAGACAAGATCAGGCCACTGTACTCCAGCCTGGGCATCAGAACGAGACTTCCTCTCCAAAAAAAAAAAAAAAAAAGAGTCAATGCCAGGAATTTTATGTCTGTTAAGTATGAAAGTGAGTATTTACTTAGAATGGAAAAATAAATCACAATGAATTAAAAAAAAATTAAAGCTGCCAGATACCTGCATATCACAAAATTCAGGGAAAAATGGCATACTCTAATATTCTTATTAATTGCCTGATATCAGTAACATTCACATTTTTCATATACTTATCAGCATTTACTTTGGTGCTTCATAATTTCTACTATCATTTTCTATAGAGAAACTAGAAACATAATTTTCTCCATAATTGTGGTTGAGTTTTTAAAAGTTATTGATCATAGCTTTAAAAAAAAGCTTTTCCCACAAGTTTTTATAGATAATGTAAAAATGTTTAGGAGTTTATCTTATACTTTTGAGGAGCCATTTAACCACTTTAAAGCAAAATATTGTTTGTGCTTACTCGACTGATAAATTATAGAATGAAGTTTTGATTTCACTTTCTAGTTTCATCTTAGTTTTGTAAACTCAGTGAACCACATTATGGAGAAAATTATGTTTCTAGTTTCTCCATAGAAAATGATAATAGAAATTATGAAGCACCAAAGTTTAGGAAAACAAGTTTCATAAGAATTTTTAGATGATGTCGTTTTAATATGTGACTTATCTTATATGACTCATCTTAAATACTTATTTGAATTGACAGTACTCCTAAAACAGTTTGTGGATGACTGCTTCTGCTATTAATGGGTTTTCTATTGTCTTGATCAATATAGTATTTCATGTTGAATGAGCATGAAATTACTAAGAACTTGTATAGATGTGGATTGGGCAGTGTCTGTGGGATGTAATATCTTTTATACCTACAACAATTCTGATAGGTAGATAGGTACTAGTCCCATTTTTTTTTACTTATTTTTAAAAATTTTTTAGAGATGGGATCTTGCTATGTTGCCCTGGTTGGTCTTGAACTCCTGGCTCAAGCGATCTTCCTGTCTTGGTCTCCCAAAGTGCTGGCATTGCAGGCCTGAGTGACTGGGCCTGGCCACTAGTCTTATTTACAAATAAAAAAAACAGGTCCAAATAAGAAAACAGGCCTAGAGATTTAATTGTTCAGGGCCATGAAAGTGGTAAGTGACCAAAACGAATCCACTAAGGGTTTTTGTTGTTGTTTTGTCTTTTCTTGTAGCCCGGTGGCAAACTAGAGTTGTAGACAAATACCTGTGAAATCTTTTGAAGTTTTGTTGAAAATACTCTAAAAGAACAGCATTACAGCCTCAGAGATGCTTTTGGTATAGAAAGTTGCATTTAATATACTTTGTTATGGAGGCTTGTTTTAGCATGTAATTATGTAATCCATTTAAAATACCTCAGTTTCAGAGATAGAAATTAATTGCAAATTACCTTTTCTTCACCTACTCTTTGAAAACAATTTGAGCGTGTAGTCTGGACTGGTTATGGAAATCCTTCAGGATTAGGGGAGAGCATATAGAAGATCCTGCTGTGGATTCCATGATGATGATGGAAAAGTAAGGATTCAGGGAATAATAGGCACTTGAAAGCAGGAAGTAACCCATGCTGGCTTATACCTTTTGTCTTTTTTCCCTCTCAGCTCTCGCCTTCAAAAAGAAAATGATCCCATTTAGTCATCATAGTCCTGTTTTCCTCATCCATAATAATACTTTATTCACAGAGTTGTTCTGAGTTTAAAATAAAATTAGATGAAGTACATGGAAGTGCTGTGTAGGTAAGCATTTTGTAAAACTGTTTCCTTCTTCATTCATTGAGACTTAGGTTTTTCTAGTTCTCTCTTTCTCTCCTGTCTTAAGATTTTGTGGATATTTGCTTCTGGAAGTTTGCATACCAAAAGCAATGGGGCATTCTAAGAAAGTAAAATTTGTAACACTGAACATGACATTTCAGAGTACAACTTCTGGAAAATAGATACTGAGAATCACTGATCTCGTGAAGAGATGACATGTGCAGAGTTAACTAAAATACAAGGCAAGCTGTGTTGAATCTGATACCAAAGCAGTATACAAAAGCATGAATGAACAATAGGGTTAGCTCTACCAGGAGATATTTGAAAGAGGAGCTTGTTTATCAAAATGAGTATGTAATTGGTATAATATATGTAGGGGAGTAAGAAATGTAAGGGCTTCCCTGGTATTCCTTTATTGTATTGGAGACCTTGCTTTCTTTCTTCAGAATAGTTGAGAATAGACAGAAGAGACAGAAAATTTCCATTTGTATGTAGTTTTGAATTTTGTTTTCATATATTGAATTCTCAGAATAGCCCTGTGAGGTAAGTAGAGGGACCGACCGTGAGTCTGAGATTGAGTGAGTGACCTGTCCCCGGTTACACAGCTAGTAAGAGTGAAACTGAAGTCTGTTGTCTTGAAGTGTAGCTTCTCTTACTGTATGGTAGCTTTACAGTAGCAGAACTTCAGTTTTCTCAGGACCAAACTTCTGATAGCCTTGAGCAATGAGAGGTGTGAACACATAGAACTTATATTCAGTAAATATTTATTTGGTTCTTTTGGTTATTTATAGGTAGCTCTGTTTTGAAATTAAAATAATGTCTTTTTCCAACTTCATTTAAGGAGTTTTGGGATGGTGGTTGATAACTAAGACAAAGTGCTGAAGAAATGATAGAAGTTGCAAAGAGACGTTAGTGTACTATACTTGGTGAATGTTGGAAACTGCAGGACCTGCTGTAGGGAAGAAAAAAGTTCTAGCTGGAAAGAATGAGGAAACCAAAGAGCTCTGCAGAGGGAGGGGGAAGACAAGACAGACTGCAGCTGTGCTTCTGTGGACCCCAAGAACAGCACTGTTCATACACAGAGGATAGCTCTGAAGAGAGATACCTGTGTAGTGCAGCTTCTAAATTTCATAATAAAGGTAAAAATGGGAAATGTTTTCAGTTCAGATAAGGTTGACTGTGCAGCTCACATCTGTATGTGAAGCATAGTACGGATATTCATAAGGATTTTTAGTTATCAAAATAGGTTAAATTATATTCTGTATACTTAAGATGCCAGAAATACTTCTATGGAAAGAGTTAAAATCTCCTATCTAAACTGTTAATATTAGGTGTTTAAAGAACTCACATAGTATGACTAGTTTCTCTCTTAAGAGTTAATAAATAAGGAATCTGCACTGAGAACCATTGCAAAGGAAGCTGGAGACGGGTGGCTTTCATAGAGACTGGGAATGTGAGTGCTCTCTTTAAAAAAAAAAATACCCTCCTTAAAATATTATAGGTGTTCCTGCATACTCATACAGTATTTCAGTATGATTTTGTCCATAGACTCAAAGAGACTGTTTTAAAGTATAGTTCTGATCATGTCAGACCTCTTTTAAAAAAAAAAATCATCAGTGGTTCTTCATTGTCTGATAATTGCTAATCATAACACTAGCCACTGTACATTGAAGGTTTGCTTTGTGTTAGGCTCTATTCTGAGCATTTTACATGATCTCACTGAGTTTTTGTAGCAGCCTGTGAGGTAGGTACTTTTATTGCCATTTTATAAACAAGGCATGAAGATTTTAAGTAAATTATTTAGGGTACATAGCTAGTAAGTGGCAAATCTGGTATTTAAACTCAGGCAGCCTGATTTCAGAGCCCCTATTCTTGTCTCTAAATAAATAAATAGTTTTCCTAAACTACAATTGAAGACTCTGATCCTAGACTACCTTTCCATATAGTAGTAGTAGTAGTAGTATAGCCTCAGTGTTCATGATCACATGACACACAAGGCCATCCTACTTTGTGGTAAAACTAGATTCTATATTCTGATCTCACTAGGACTTTGCCAGCTATATGAGTTTACTCATGTGAGTTTCTCTCATTGGGAGACCTCCCTCTCTTCTTTTTTTTTTTTTTTTTTGAGACGGAGTCTTGCTCTGTCGCCCAGGCTGGAATGCAGTGGCGCAATCCCAGCTCACTGCAAGCTCTGCCTCCCAGGTTCACGCCATTCTCCTGCCTCAGCCTCCCGAGTAGCTGGGACTACAGGCGCCCGCCACCATGCCTGGCTAATTTTTTGTATTTTTAGTAGAGACAGGGTTTCACCATGTTAGCCAGGATGGTCTCTATCCCCAGACCTCGTGATCTGCCCGCCTCAGCCTTCCAAAGTGCTGGGATTACAGGCGTGAGCCACCGCACCCGGCTTTTTTTCTTTTTTCATTTTTTTTTTTCGGAAATGGAGTCTCGCTCTGTTGCCCAAGCTGTAGTGCAGTGGTGCGATCTCGGCTCACTGCAACCTCTGTCTCCCGGGTTCAAGCGATTCTCCTGCCTCAGGTTGCTGAGTAGGTTGGATTACAGGCGCGTGCCACCATACCTGGCTAATTCTTGTATTTTTAGTAGAGACTGAGTTTCACCATGTTGGTCAGGCTGGTCTGGAACTCCTGACCTCGTGATCCGCCCTCCTCGGCTTCCCAAAGTGCTGGGATTACAGGCGTGAACCACTGATCTAGCCCCTTCTTTTCTTTTAACCCATTCATAGCCAAGTCCTGCTCTGTAGAACTATGGTCATTTGCTTATATCTTTCCACTAAAGTCAGACTCATGATGAATTGTTCATTAGTGAGATCCAGCATTGCAACTAATACAATGCCCTGTACATAGTATTTATTAAATAAATGATTTTTTTAATAAGTAGGAATTTAGCAACCATTTTTAGCCCAGTGTATCTCAGTATTCTGCACCTGGAAACAAAAACTAGTGCACAAAGCCATACCCCACACCAAACAGATCAGATCCTCTGGGGATGGGGCCTGGACAACATTTTTTTAAGCATATGTATGATTTCGTGTGCCACAGAGTAGAGAATCACTGATGAAATTAAATTTGCTCCATTTTTTTTTTTTTTTTTTTCAGGGAGAGAGTGGAGGCTTAAAATCGTGATTTCATACTTGAGAAATAGATTTGTGTTACACATTTTCTCTAGTCGCTAGTTCTGTGGGGGAAATTGTTATATCCTAGCATATTTGCTGTAACTATATGCTAAGACTGATTGTGATCAGTACATTGTACTAAACTGGAGAAGCGTTAATTTCTTCCAAATTTCATCTTTTAGGGGCTTGAAGTAATGGCATGATACATGATTTTTATGGAGATGTGCTGGATGACTTGTCATAATATCTCCTAGGGAGGAGACTGTTGAAACTGAATAGCTATCTGGTTTCCACCTGTTAATTATGTATTTTCAGTAGCTGTTCTATTTAGGACATTACAGACCCAAAGTATGTTTAATATTGCCCTATGTCTGGGGATAAAAAAATTTCAAAAGACGTCATTTTACACTTTTTTCACTATTTCATTTCATCTTCACAACTACTATCAGAGGAGAGTAGGGCAGGTATCATTAGCTCTATTTTACAGATGAAGAGAAACTCAGTCACTTAGGTCATATATTTGGTAAGTGATCAAGTTGGAATCAAAACCCGTTTCCTTACATCTAACCCAGTGCCCTTTTTGCTACACCATAATAGTAGCAAATTGTATAGTCAGTATTGAGCAAGGCTCTAAAGCAGTGCCCAGGCTAAGGGTTATTTTTGAGGGATATAGGCAGATAGCATCCAAAATAGAATATTAGACATACAGTAAGGCAATATGCATGCAGTTGGGCTATGTGTCAAGAACGCTGTATCTAGCAATCTAAAATAATCAGATGTAAGCAAATACTTTTAAAAAATAAGAATATAAATTCAGTGTTTAGAAGAGTGAAGAAACTGGGAATAGCATATTCAGTAGTAGAGGGGATAAGTGAATTTCGGTACATCCTTCTGATGTATATTTAACCATTTAGAGCTTTGAAAAAATAACATAGGAAAATGCTTATGAACTTATATTAGGCCAAAAGGTATCAAACTATAATATGAAATATGAAGAAAAACATGATTGAGTATATGTGTACATGAAGAAGAAATTGGATTGTAATACATCAAAATGTAAAAATATCTAAGTCTGGTTGGTGGGGTTAGAAGTAATCATATTCCTTTTTTTCCAAAAAAATTTTTTTTCCCATTTTTTTTCACAGTGATTGTATTTTCTAGTCAGGAATACATTTCAAAACCAAAAAGATCATGAAAAAGTCTTCGTAGAAAGAAATTTATCAGTGTCATCGGTGTTTATTGGTAATTAACATCATGACTTAGAAAGCTTATAAATATTAAGTGATTAACATTTTTTCAGTGCAGTTTTGATCAGCCTGCACTGGGTGCTTGACTTTCAGTGACTTTTAACAGCAATATATTTTATTGCTTTATTTTGAGGAAAAATATGTTGTTGCAAAAGTCAGGATTTTTTTGTGTATTTCATATTCACTCATTAGAACTTTTTCTTTAAGAGGGGGGGTCTTGCTACATTGCCCAGGCTGGATTCCAACGCATAGGCTGAAGTTGTCGTCCCCCTTCAGTCTACCCTAAGTAGCTGGAACTATAGGCATGAGCTACTGCATCAGGCTAGAACTTTTTTAAAAAATGGAATTTAGACTAGAGCCTGAGAAATCAGAAAAATCTTACCATTGTTGCTTATGTTAAATAAAGAACTAATTCGATCGTTGTCCAAAGGGTGAAATAAAAGAGACAACCACATTTTCCTTTCATAATAATATTTAGTTGTTGGATTTTGCTGAGAAATTATTTAAATTTATTAACCCATATTCTCTTCCTTGTGATAATTTTGTAGGCTTGCAGGTAGATTTACTAGTTGTTTAAATTTCCCATGATGATTATTCATCTTTCTATACATAATATCCTATTCAGAATGACAGGTATCTTTTATTATGGCTAGGTCCCAAATTTTCATTAAGAAAACCTAAGAACATTTTTATTTTTATGAGAATTGTAATATATGACCATTTTAAGAAACTCTGAAATGTTATTTAGAAAATGTACTTTTTTTGGCCAGGTGCGGTGGCTCATGCCTGTAATCCCAGCACTTTGGGAGGCCGAGGCGGGTGGATCACCTGAGATCAGGAGTTTGAGACCAGCCTGGCCAACATGGTGAAACCCTGTCTTTACTAAAAATACAAAAAATTAGCTGGGTGTGGTGGCACGCGCCTGTAATCCCAGCTACTAGGGAGGGTTAGGCAGGAGAATCGCTTGAACCCAGGAGGCAGAGGTTGCAGTGAGCCGAGATTGTGCCACTGCACTCCAGCCTGGGTGACAGAGCGAGACTCCGTCTCAAAAAAAAGAAAATGTATTTTTTTAAGTGTGCTGAAGTAGTTCACTTTCAGAATGAAGAAACAAAATAAAAAACACAGTAAATAGAGACATTAAAATAGAATCTTTAAAAAAGGACAAAATAGAATATTCTTCCAGTTTTTTTTAACTTTTATTAAGGAAAGTTTTTAAATTTCCTTTTGAATTTGAAGGTACAAGTGAAAAAAAGAGTCCTATTAGTCTCAGTTTTTGCATCTGAAAGGACGGTTACTAGGTTAAATAAAAGTATATACAATGCCATTTTTCCTCAGCAGAAAAGACTTTTTTTTATAATTCAAGATATTAATCTTTTGGGATTGAAATGTGATTTAGTGCTGAGTATTCAGTTGTAGGCCAAGATGTTAAGGAGTCATCCGGGTCTAAAGGATTTGAGGGAGCTATAAATGGCAGTGTATGATTAAGTTAAAATCTAACACTGTGGCCGGGCGTGGTGGCTCACGCCTGTAATCCCAGCACTCTGGGAGGCCCAGGTGGGCGGATATCTTGAGGTCAGGAGTTCAAGACCAGCCTGGCCAACATGACGAAACCCCATCTCTACTAAAAATACAAAAATTAGCTCGGCGTGGTGGCATGTGCCTGTAATCCCCCCTACTTAGGTGGCTGAGGCGGGAGAATCGCTTGAACCCAGGAGGTGGAGTTTGCAGTGAGCCGAGATCACGCCACTGCACTGCAGTCTGGGTGACAGAGTGTGACTATGTCTCAAAAAAAAAACAAAACAACATTGTCATGTCTCTGATTTATTTTAGGTTTGTGTACTGCCCAAATTGCATGGCTTGACATCATTTCTTAATGTCGTTTTTATTTTAAGTCAGAGCACCATAACATGGTGTGGGAAGTGAAGACAAATCAGATGCCTAATGCAGTACAGAAACTCCTGTTGGTGATGGACAAGAGAGCCTCAGGAATGAATGACTCATTGGAGTTGCTGCAGTGTAATGAGAATTTGCCATCTTCACCTGGATATAACTCCTGTGATGAACACATGGAGCTTGGTAAGCAAAATTAAAAGTTATATAGAAATCTCACTAAGATTCAGATAAATTTTTCTACTTAGCCCGCTTCTCCACCAACCTTGACTGGCTAGAAAGGGATATGAAGTATTTGTATATTAGGAATTTTCAGCATTCTTTTATTGCTTTTAAAATACTACTTAAAACCAACATGAGTTGGGCTATTTATGGTTATTGTAGACACTCATTTACAGATTGTTAAATTAAACTACTTTACTTTGTGTGTAAAGATTGGACCCCACTCGTGGCTTTTCGAAAGATGCTACTTTTGAAATATACTTGAGAGAGCTCAGTAAAATATGCTTAGCCACTCTTCGTGGCAGATTTGCTGGTATGATGTGGAAATTACAGTGGACCCTTGAAACTTGAGGATCTGACATTTATGGTTGTTACTATTGCTAAACTACTCCTGGAGATATGTGACCTTTAGAAATGTGTAAGTTTGTTGAGGTGTGTTTTTGAATTGTATTGCTTCAAGGCTGGTGTTCAGGAGTATGGAGCTAATGAGTCACCTTGGCTTGCTGCCCAGCTTTTCAGCTTGGCTTTGCCCCCATTTAATATATGGGGGTTTCCTTCATGTTTATAAAAACCCTGGGGAGAAGATACAGCTGTCTTAATTTTACAAATGATGAAATGGAGGAGATTATGTACTATGGTAATGTTTGGAAATTTAGAGATCTTAAGCTCTTGGGACACATAACCTGCTTGAATGCCAAGGATTTTCTGGACCCTAGTATTTATTGAGTACTGGTTACTTTTGAGCAAGGAGTGCCATTTTAATCAGGTAGTTGATCTTCCTCAGTTTTTGGTTTAAGGAGGAACTCAGAAACTTAGGGCCGAGGGGAGTATAAATAACATGCCCCTTCCACCTATGACTTCGTTTAAAAAGTAATTTCCTGAACTTCAGAAACAGAAATGAACCCTTTGCAGTAAATAAATGTTGGTCAAAGGCAGTGAGGGAAAGGAAATAGCTATATCAGCATGAAAATTGTAGGGTAGAATTATTTTAAATTAGTGTGATGTTCTAGAACTCCTTGGCTCCTTCATGACTCCATGAAAGAAGTCAGTTTTTACAAATGGATATCCCGAGTCAGTGCTTCTAATTAAAACATTTCAGTTTGGCTTGGCATGATGGTTCACGCTAGTAATCGCAGCACTTTGGGAGGACAAGGTGGGAGGAGTTCAGGACCAGCCTGGTCAACGTAGTGAGATATCATCTCTACAAAAATTTTCTTTAAAAATTAGCTGGGCATGGTGGGTACATGCCTGTAGTCCTAGCTACTTGAGAGGCAGAGGCGTGAGGATCATTTGAGCCCAGGGGTCCAAGGCTGCAGTGAGCTATAATTGTACCACTGCACTCCAGCCTGGGCAACAGAGTAAGACCCTATCTCAAAAAAAAATTTTTTTTTTTTTAAGATAGGACATTTCGGTTTTAGTAGACTATTCTGGAATATTTGCCTGAATAGGAGTTATACATACTTTTATAGTGACATTTAGGAGACTAGAAATTTTCTTGACTTGTATATTTAAGGGACCCAATAGGTTTGTGGAGTTTGTAGGTATGTGTTTCGTGGAGAGTTTTTTTTTTTAAGCCTTCAAGATGCTTTTTCTTCCCTACTACATACACACATACATACAGACATATATATGATTTTTTAAAAGAATATATATATAATTTTTTTTAAGAATTCAGTATTTTGGAATTCATGTTCCTTATAGTGCTTGGTGTGTGCATGAGTGGTAGCTGGGTAATAGTTCCAGTCATCTTATGGGGAGCTGAAAGGGTATCATGAATTGCCTTTTAGGAATGCACTTATAGGAAAAAATAACCGATAAATAACCAGTAAATATTAACAAGTTCAGAATTTATTAGTAAAAAGAAATACTTTAACACAGAGTTGTGTAAGTAGTAGCTAAATATTTATGTGATCTATATTATCATTATGGAAATTATTGTTTATAGTCTGTATAACAGGTTATTAAAGTATGTGAGTAATAAGTCCATATTGCACACATAAAATGCCTTTTTCTTCATTAACTTGTTAATGTAAAAATATCTCAGTGGCATATGGATCACTCCTAGGTGAGGTACAAAACACTAGGGGGAATAAGAAGCAGAAAACACAAACCAAACCATGTTTTTCCAGTCTGTGAACAGAATGTTAAATTTATGATTTTCCTCTCTCAAAATTAATTAGCTAAAATTGAGGACTTCTCTTTTAACTGCAGTTATAATATTGTTCCTTGTATTAGTAATTTCCTTTTTATGATTTTGAGTGTGCTTATTTGCAGATGACCTTCCTGAACTTCAGGCAGTTCAAAGTGATCCTACCCAATCTGGCATGTACCAGCTGAGTTCAGATGTTTCACATCAAGAATACCCAAGATCATCTTGGAACCAAAATACCTCAGACATACCAGAAACTACTTACCGTGAAAATGAGGTGGACTGGCTAACAGAATTGGCAAATATCGCGACCAGTCCACAAAGTCCACTGATGCAGTGCTCATTTTACAATAGGTAGGAGCATTTATTATATTTTTATTGAAACATTCTATCATTACACAAAGGTTTTATTTAAAAATTTTTCTAGTTTAAAAGTAGTAATACTTTAAATTATTAGAATTTAAGTCATTAGAATTAAGCTCCTTATCTAATGATCAAAGACTTATTTCACTCACTACCATGATTTCATATTTTGAGAATTAGATAAAGGTGATAAAGAGAACCATAGAGTAAAAAAATTTGTAAATGTTTAAAATAAATTAGACCATGAAATACTTTTACTATACATTTCTACATATAGAAATGAAAATTGTATTTCTCTAAGGAAGCAGAGTTGTAATCAAGATTATATTTTAAATTTTATCAACCTTTAGTTGGGTTCCTTTTGGTCTAGGTTTATTTCTTCCATAGTTTATGTGGCCTTACATTATTTGCCTGTTTGCTAATTCTAAAATTTGCTAATATTAAAATCTTAAACTTACAAAAGTGGGTTCCCATTGGTAAAAATCACTGTTTCATATATCCAGACAGAGTTTAAGAAAATGAGTGGTTGTGCTATGAAATTACGGAAGCTTCCAGCTAATATGCCTAGGGAGACCTAAGTGGAAAACACTTCATTATTTATCCCTGAAAAGAAATGGATAAATATGACAGTTTATAAGGGAGAGAAATGCCCATATTTGCACACCTGTGAGTGGAAAACGATAGACCAGAGTTTTATACTAGGTAATGTAGGAATAACTGTAAATTTTGTTAGTGCTCTTGAGTGTAATGCATTGCTAAAGAATAAACTTATTAGGTATGAAATCTCACTTTTCTTGTAACCCATTAAGTTGTGCTGCTTTTCTTACATTTAGCAGGATATTGATCTTGACTAGAGCAAATTGAATTTAATTAACTTCAGTTTAATTCCGTGTTCATTTCCACAGGAAAGAAAACTTCCTTTCAGAGTTGTTATTTCCTTTATAGTCCTAGTTTTCATTGTAATCTTAATAGTCAAAAAGCTAAAAATTCTTTTATTTATTTATTTTTAAAAAAAAACCTGATTTAACTATTGGATTTTTTTTTTCTTTCTCTAGAGATACTTTTTTTTCACTTTTTACAGCAGAGTCATAGGATTAATAATAACAGTTTATGGAAAGTGAGTAAACCCTTCAGAAGAAAATCAGTGTAAATAAAAACATAAGACATAAGGAAAGGAGTATCTCCCTGAGGATGTATTATTCTGTCCAGCATTTTGAGTAATGCTCTGTTGTCTGGCCTACCTCCTAACACTGTCTGCTCATGCAGCTTATTGTTGAGTGTTAAACTGTGTTACTGAGCTTTGATATCTGAAGTCTATAGTTAAGGAGTTGAGGACAGGTAAAAATTTATATTACCCCTGAATAGAGAGAGAGATGAAGAAATCAATGCTGTTAGTGTTTGGACGTGTTTAGCATGTTAATTTTCACAGAGTATTTAGGCCATATACATTTTAGAATATCACATTGTTCCCTTCATTTTTATTTATTTTTACTTTTTGTTACTTCTGTTTTAAATGGTTAAACAGAAGAACTGATAAAACTCACTTTTTAAAATTAGGGAGTCAGGAATGAACAAAAGGAATATTTAGCAGTTTGGCCATTCTCTGATACTTCATATATATCTAAATGTGTAATAACAGGATGGGCAGTTTTTGGGCAAAAGATGAAACATTCAGCATATAATTTGAAATCAAAAATTGGAGAGTATGCTACAATGCATGGAAATCTGAGGGCCTTTCGATTTAAGGAGTGATGTGAACATGAAAGTATAGATCCTTATGTAAAAGTAATTTCTGGAAAGGTAAAATGAAAAATGTTAATGAGGATAAGGTAGAAATTGAAGGGCTAATACAAATTCTCAGGGAATAAGGGAAAAATTGGAAAGATGTCCTTTCTCTCTTTTTTGTTTTTGTTTTTTTGAGACGGAGTCTTGCTCTGTCGCCCAGGCTCGAGTGCAGTGGTGCAATCTCGGCTCACTGCAAGCTCCGCCTTCCGGGTTCACGCCATTCTCCTGCCTCAGCCTCCCGAGTAGCTGGGACTGCAGGCACCCACCACCATGCCTGGCTGGTTTTTTGTATTTTAAGTAGAGATGGGGTTTCACTGTGTTAGCCAGGATGGTCTCCATCTCCTGACCTCGTGATCCGCTTGCCTTGGCCTCCCAAAGTGCTGGGTGGGATTACAGGCATGAGCCACTGCACCCGGCCCTTCCTCTCCTTTTTAAAGAGTATTAGTACAGACATGCATAAACTTTTTCTGTTAAGGACCAGATCTCTATTTGGCATCTCAGACAATTATCCTGATTTGGGACCTTACCTTCAGATGGTTTTCCCTCCTCCACCTGGCTGTCTTCCTCTCTGCTTCCTTTCCAGACTGCTGAGTCCATACACATCATTCATCATCCTCTATAGGCTTGTTTCTTTCTGTTACCCCACCCATGAATATCTGGTCTGTTTGTGAGGGAAGGATCTGGGTATGCTCCTGGGAGCTCCATATACTCTAAAGGGAGCATTGTCTGGTAAAAGAGACTTTTGAGGGGAAGAAAAGAGGGCAAGGGATAAAGTTTTTTTTTTAAGGTGATCTTTGAGGAGAAAAAATAACTAGACCTTATATGTAGTTGCTTTTCAGCAAGTTTGTATTAGAAAACAAGAAATAGTGTCCAGTTACAAGGAGGGTGGATAGGCTGCTCTCTGCTATAAAAAGTGTAAGCATTTTTGCTTAAGGTAGTTCTTGTATCTGCCCAGTGATATGTGGTTGGTAGATAAAGAGTTCAGAGTTGGTTACACTAAGCTTAAATGCTGTCTTCATACTGAGACTTACTGAGTACATCAAAGTAGAAGAAAGAAATGGATAGGACGCCCTGCATTAGAGGGGGTATTATCATTCACAAACGAAATATACACATGTATATGTATTGATAGAAAAATGAATGGGATAAATAAATGAAACCATAGTCGTAGTTTAAAATATATTGTCAAATCTGAAAAAAACGATGTCTAAAATGTGTGAGGAGGGTTTGGATAAGGAGTTAAGGAATATAATTATAAAATGAAATCTTGCTGTCTTTACTAGTGTTTACCATAAATGTGTTCAATGTAATAACATTGGCGTTTTAAATATGAAGTTCTTTCATTAATAGGAAAGATCTACTTTAAGGACCTATGCTTATGGTTGAAACTGTTGCTTTATTTTAGATCATCTCCTGTACACATCATAGCCACTAGCAAAAGTTTACATTCCTATGCACGCCCTCCACCAGTGTCCTCTTCTTCGAAGAGTGAACCAGCCTTCCCTCATCACCATTGGAAGGAGGAAACACCAGTAAGACACGAAAGGGTAAGTTTATTTATGAGGTTAAACTTTTACAAAGTTTGTACAACAGTTGAAGTACATTAACATTCCTCATAGGAAGTAGTCTCACTGTTCTGTTAGTGATCTGGATTTGATTTTATATACAGCTCTGCTATGTGTTAGGAAAGCTTATTATTAATGGGAATGTGCGTATAACTAAAGCTTCCAAAAACTTTGTTTTGTGTGTGTCTTTTTTTTCTTTTTTTTTCTTTTTTTTTTTTTTTTAGCAAATTCTCCCACAGCCTGACAACCCTCAGTTTTTGAAGGCATTATATTTTCCCTAAGGTTAGAATTACTAAGTTATCCACCTATAAGCATGGGCCTAAAGACGTGGGATGAAAACAGATATTAAAAGGTATATTTTAAAAACAAATAAAAAAGTTGATAATATTTTTCTCCATAGGCAAATAGTGAGTCAGAATCTGGCATTTTCTGCATGTCCTCCCTGTCAGATGATGATGATTTGGGATGGTGCAATTCCTGGCCTTCAACTGTCTGGCACTGTTTTTTGAAAGGTAAAACAAACAAACAAACAAAAACCTTGAATTTTCCACAGCTTACTTGTCTAGTACAGTCACGTGTCTAATACGTGTTTTCTACCTAAACCTTAGGCACACGACTGTGCTTTCATAAGGGAAGCAATAAGGAATGGCAAGATGTTGAAGATTTTGCTAGAGCTGAAGGCTGTGATAATGAGGAAGATCTTCAAATGGGCATTCACAAGGTTGATTTAAAATTCTTAAAAAATTTTTCAAAATCTTTCCAAATGAAACAAGATTTATTGTTAATCTACAGAAATATCCTCCATTCACTTTGATATTTAAATGACATCGTACATTTTAGGTAGAGCATTTTTATGACCACTCATTGCTTAGTCTGATGGGGAGGAGCAATGATTTTAGGTTTGCCTTTCTAACATGCTTTCTTGGATGGGAAATAGTATATTTCTTGGTGCTTCTTCGTGTTTTATACACTTTACAATGGGGAAAACTGGTATTAAAAATATGTAATGAGGTCGGGCGCAGTGGCTCATGCCTGTAATCCCAGCACTTTGGGAGGCTGAGGCGGGTGGATCACGAGGTCAGGAGATCGCGACCATCCTGGCTAACGCGGTGAAACCCCACCTCTACTAAAAATACAAAAAAATTAGCTGGGCGTGGTGGTGGGCGCCTGTAGTCCCAACTACTTGGGAGGCTGAGGCAGGAGAATGGTGTGAACCCAGGAGGCAGAGCTTGCAGTGAGCCAAGATTGCGCCACTGCACTCTAGCCTGGCAACACAGTGAGACTCTGTCTCAAAAAATATATATATATTTATATGTAATGAATAAATAAACTAACCAAAGCCTTGCCTTAGGTAATCTACAAAGTGATTAATTCCCCTGTAGATTATTGAAAGCCAATTATATTAAGTTACTTTATATAAGTTGTTTCATATTAAGTTACTAAAACTAGCATTTTCTAAGTCGATGAGCAAAAGCAGTAGCGAGCAATATTAGGATAAAGTTGACACCTTTCACTTTGAAATTTTTAATTTCTCCATCTCTCCTGTAGGCAAGAAAATGGGCATGTGAAGTGTGCTTGTACAAATTCTTGTTTTGATCCTGCTATGTCTCACTATTAAGTCTCTTGAGAAAAATTGTCCTGTCTTGGCTGCCTTCAGTTTCGTCCCCTTGCTTTACTCTTCACTTTAGTGAAGTTCACAATAGTCTAACTTTGGCCTCTACTACTCTACAAAAATTGTCTCAAAGGTTACTAGCTTTATTCTGATTTCTAGGAAGAGAGACGTCGTTTGTTCTGTTTGACATCTGTACAACATTTGACACATTGGGTTAGTTCCTGACATTGTCTTCCCTTGATTTGTGTAGCATGGCAGCATCCTGATTCTCAGTCTTTTAGGCCTGGTACTTGACTGCCCGCAGTGCTGAATATTAGACAAGATTTTGCCCCCTTCACTTTCTTCACCAGTTCCTCTCTCCTGATAATGTCAGCAGCACCTCCATCATGTCCTGTGGAATGCACTCTGGACTTGGAGTCAGGAAACCTGGGCTCTCTTTATAGCTTCTCCAGCAATTATCTGTGTTACTGATCTTAGGCAGATTGTTAACCCCTCTGAGTATTGGCTTCCTGATCTGAAAAATGGGATTGGATTAGTTTTAAGGTCTCCTGCAGCCCTGAGAATGGGAAGATTTTGTAATTTCGTTATTTGCCAATCTATGTCTATAGCCTTCACCTGCACATTTCCAGCTGCATGTTAGACATCTCTGCATGAATATCAGTCAGTTCTTTGAACTAAGCTTAGTGTGACCAAAACTGCCCTTACCTTTTTCTTCCTCTTCTTGGCTTACTTTCCTCCTATTCTTTCAAAGTTGTTATTATCATCCTTCTTGATTACCAGATTCAAAACCATGAAGTTGTCTTTTACTATTCTATTTCTTCCCTTTATTTATATTCATTTGATTCTAATTCTGTAAAGATTTTTAAGTCATCCTCTCTTATTCATGACCTTGTTCATGCGTTAGCGTAATTATGATTGGATACTATAGCAAGCTTTTGGCGTGTTTGTCTCCTTTGTTTTTCTGTGAATGTAAGGGTAAGGATCATGTTTGTTAGTGTTTGTATTTTCAGATCCTACCATGTGGCATGTGTTAAATGCTCAATATTCATTGAATTTAAATTTTTCTGGTTCTATTACTATTGCACTTGTCAATTCAGGTCTATAATAGGTGTCTCTCATTATATCCTCAGGTAATTGAATATGAGATCTTTTCTTCTGTAGAGTCTTTTCTTATTTACCATCATCTTAAAAATTGACAGTCATGCTGATAAAAACACTTTGATTGATTTCCCAATACCTTCTAAGCAAAAATTGTCAGTACTTTGCCTGTCTTTAAGAGGCCTTTACTAACTGGCCTCTCCTTATTAGCTTTATTTGCCCCAAATCTGAACTCACCTTGTATTTTTAGCAAATACTCAGCACTCCCCAAAGTTATTGTTAATTACAAATTTCTTGGTGCAAGGCATCTTTCTAAATTGCATTCTTCTTTTAAATCTCAGTTCCAGTTGGAATTGAAAATCCTCCTTAATCTCTCTTTTGGTATTAATAACTCTTTATTAAACTGCATCACCATTATTTATACTTGAGTGTAAGTGCTTATTCCAGTCTAGTTATTTATATATGTGTCTTTCTTCACTACCGGGTTTGAAAGCTCTTTAATGGCAGGGATCCTGTCTTGGTTATTTTTACCTTTTCCACAAAGTCTTACATGTAATGGGAACTTCACAGTGTTTTGAATTGAACATTTCCAATTCATTCACGCTATGCATATATTTTCAGGGCTATGGTTCTGATGGTCTAAAGTTGTTATCACATGAAGAAAGTGTATCATTTGGCGAGTCTGTACTGAAGTTGACTTTTGATCCTGGTACAGTAGAAGATGGTTTACTTACCGTAGAGTGTAAGCTGGACCACCCTTTCTATGTTAAAAATAAAGGTAGGGCTTGAATTGCATTTGTAGTAACTTTTTTTAAACAAAGCTTCTTAAATCTGTAATTATGTCTGTAGCTTTGATGATTAAGAAAAAATTTGAGGGGAAAACGTCTTTCAAACTAAATAAAAAACTACCATAGGGAATGCTTATAATAATACCTAATGGTGCGTAAGTATCTTAGCAGTCAGGTGGAACTTTATTTCCTGTATGAGAAATTTTTAGATTCATGTAGCATAGTATAATAAGCTTTCTATTATCTTGGTATAGTTTGGGTAATGTAGTGATCTAGTAATCACATTTTCATTAAGAGTTACCAAATATGATATAAACCTGAGTCACTCTTCAGAGCCTTATTACAGTAACACCATGTTAAAGATGATTTTATAATTCAGAGACTATTTCATGGTCTCAGTCATTTATCACTTATTGTCATTGTAGACTGATGGAAGTGCTCATTGTCATTGTAGACGGATGGAAGTGCTGATTGATAGAGGAGCTCTATATATAATAAAATGCTGAACAATAAGCTAGTTTTGGAGGGCTTTTACATTGCTGAAAGGAAATACTTATCTAGTACTTTATTGTAAAGATACATGACTTGTGTTAGAGAATCTCTTGAGACTTAGCAATAACATTTTATTTTTAAGATATAGAAATGATATGTCTGTTCTAAAGTAGGGTGCTTTCTGTGAGTCCTCATCCTTTATGCAACATTGTTTAACTTTAGGTTGGTCATCATTTTATCCAAGCTTGACTGTGGTACAGCATGGCATTCCATGTTGTGAAGTTCATATTGGCGATGTATGTCTACCTCCTGGACACCCCGATGCCATTAATTTTGATGATTCAGGTGTTTTTGATACATTTAAAAGGTAATATTGGATTAATTCTTTGTTTTATTTTCCTCTTAAAGTTTGCCCTTCATTTCCCTAATGATGGTTAAGTCAGATATTTAGGAAGTTCAGTCTTTAAAGATTTGAGAATTATAAAAGAATTATTAAGAGGAAAGTATGACATGAAAACATATTAGGTAATTAAAGTATAATAGTTACCAGAGAGTTTTGCGTGTAGTTGTCATATAGGAAAATTGAGTTTATAAAACATTTAGGATTAGATTAGGAAGAATATCACATGTTACATGACCAAGAGTTTAATGGTTCAGCTTTGATAGTTACATTTAAAAAGTTGTGATATCTGGCCAGTTGTTCTTAAACAGCTTATAAATCTCTTGTGTTTTTTGTAGTTAACTGTATTTTTCTTGATATAATAGTTAACTGTATCTTTGTTTCATACTCATTTTGACCAAGGGCATTAGTTGCATGGTTTAACAAATAGTAGAAAATAGCCTAAACTTCACATCTAGAAAGGCTTAGAGAGGGAAGTGGTTATTCCTGAGATCACGTTGCTAGTAAGTGGCAGAAAAGGACAAGAACCCATGTGTCCTGACTCCAGAAGGTTGGCCAGCTATCTTCATTTATATGGGACTTTCCTGGTTTTTGCACTGAAAGTCTAGCTTTCAGGAAACCCCTCAGTCCTAGACAAACTGGAACAATTGGCCACCTTGCTCCTAGAAGGAACCCAGAGAAAGTCTGTGTGTAGGTATCTGGGATTTAAAGACTCATTCTTTCTTTAAGATAATTATCAAATCCATAGGCATGTACTGGCACTAAGTAGAGAATTCTCAAGAGTCCCTGCTGGCCTGTAGATTTTATTTCATTCAGTTTAATTAGTATGTTTTATATATCATGAGGATGAGTGAAACTATTATTAAAAAAGCAAATTGCATAGGGCCTGACACAAGCCACATGCTCGATAAATGTCTACAAGCTTATGCTCTTAATGCTGTTTGATTACATCCCTCATATACACTCTTTTTTGAAAAACTAGAAAAATGAGTCAAAATTTTAAGGACTGATACTTAGGATATATAGATTAATGATAACTCCTATGTTTTGGTGAGACTGTAACCTGATAGAAAAATTTTGGAAGATAATTTGGCTTTATCTTGTAAAGGTGAGTATTAGCAGTTTCATTCCTCTTTTATATATATTCTAGAGAAGTAAATTCTTGTAGTCATGCTCAAGGAGATGGTGCAAGTAAGTTTGTAGCTGTATTACTCATGATAGCAAAAATGTGGAAACAGTATCAATACTTATTAACTGGAGAGTGAATCCATGAAGTGTGATATAATCATATAGTGGAATTAGTGGAAAATGAATGAACCTTAGCTACAAACTTTAAAACATGGATCAATTTTTAAAACAATGTTAAGTAAAAATAAGTCTTGGAAATATACAGTATGAGTCTATTTTATGGAATCATGTTCCTTAGAAATAAATAAAATAACCCTTATATATGGTTTGTAATACACATTATATAATTATGTCAGGGGTCCCTAAAGACTAGCCCCCAGGTTTGATGATTTGCTCAGAGAATTCACAAGACTCTGCACATAGTTGTGCTCATGGCTGTGACTTATTATGGCAAAAAAATACTAATACAAAGCAAAATTGGGAAAGGGAAAAGATGTGGGGTGAAGTCTGAGGGAAGCCAGGCTTCCAGGGATCCTCTCCCAGTGGAATTAAGGGCATGTTTTATTCCCCAGCAGTGGGCTGTGACAACATATATGAAATGTCGTCTCCCAGGGAAGCTTGTTAGGCGCACTTGGCACCTAGGGTTTTTATTGAGAGCAGTCACGTAGGTTTCTTCTGCTTGGCACATAACAAAATCCAAACTTCCAAAAGGAAAGCAGGCATTCAGAGTAAACTGTGTTGTTTGTATATCCAGTCTAGGCACAGTAAACTACTCTTCTCAGTTGTGGGAATGATGGGACCCCTCAAAATCCAAGTTCTAGAAATTAGTCAAGGGTCAACCTTGTAAGTAGACTTTTGAAAGGATAGCAGTCATTTCTGCATAATGAAACACTGTATCTTATATATTAAGAAAGATATTAATAAAACTAATGCTACTGTAGTATTTATATGTTGTATTTATGAGTAATATTTTCATAATAAAATTATTGAAAAAGAATGATTAACATTCAGGAGAGTGGTTATTTCTGGGGTGGCAAATATGGAACTTAGTGATACTGGAAATATTATTCTTAATTTGGATTGTGGGTTCACTCATTTATTTGTATGCTTCATAACTTACAAATATATGTAAAGTTTACATATTATTACATAGCACCAAACTTTTTTAAAGTAAAAGGGAAAACTTGCCTGCCTAATTCCTGCTTTTCTGAGATAGCAAATTCTTACCATTTGATCTCACTGAATAATAATCACTCCCAAGATGATGTTAGTCATTGGTCTCATTTTACTGTTGAGTGACTTCAATATAACAGCAGGAGCACCCACCCTGCAAAGGAGTGGAAATGGGTGGTATCATCATGGAGAAACCAGGAAAAAATTGAGAAGCTGAAAGTGACTTTATTTTCATTGTGGATTAGACTGGTTAAGGGAGATGATGCCTGGCCTAGGGGGAGGGCAAGAAGAGAAAGAGGTAAGAAGAGGAAAAAGTCCAAGTTGGACTGCTCCAAGCAAATTCTCGGGTCATGGTTTACAGAGGACATGTGAGTAGTTTCTAGCTCAGGAAGAATCAGAAGTCAGCAATCAGTTGATGAGCTCTCATACATAATTCAAGGTTCTGTTGTAAGTAGCCCATTCTGAAACATTGAGAATTGAGGCCAACCTTCTAGGCCTCAGGCGGGTTTAAAACAGTCAGTTTTGACTCTTTGAAGTTGACATTTCTGTTCAGGTAATATGATTTAACAAACTTGAGTGCCTACTATATATATAATGTTAATTTATTTAATATTAATTACCCTATTTGTAGATTATATCCTCATTTTACAGAGAGAAGTAAAGTTGAGAGAGGTTAAGGAACATGCCCAAAACAAAGGCAGTTAGTATCAGAATTAGGATTCAAGCCCATATCTTGTAAAGATTCCAAATTTTGAGTTCTCTAGCTACTCACCTAAGATACTTCTACAATAATAGATACTCCTAATGGCAAAATACACTGTGCCAGCCTCTGCCCTGTGTCTTATGTTTATTGTTCTTTTTGGCACCACTGCATAGCATAGATTTATTTTACAGATAAGTAAACTGAGGCTACAGGGTTTATTTAACTTGCCCAAGGTCATATTACTAGCTGGAATTTGCACTCAGTTAAAATTTTCCATTATTATGTTATTCAGAATTGATTAAAAAATGAGTTAAGAATGGCCATACCTCTTTGCTTCCAATCTAGAGAAGGAAATGGATTAGTAAATGTATACAGTAGATGTACACGCTGATTGAGAGGCAGTGTAGCCTGATAGGAACATGAGCTCGATCTGGACTGCCTGGATTCAAATCCTGGCTCTGCAATTGATTTGCTATGGAAGCTTGAGTAAATTAATATTTCTGTGGCTCCTTTAAAAAAATCTGTAGAATGGGGATAATATTGGAAGGATTAAATAAGTTAATATATGTGACATGGTTAATAGGCACTACATTATTGTGGAGTTTGCCATTAAGACTAATGATTAGACAGTGAAGTGAGAATGGGCATTCTAAGCTTAAGGAATGGCATGTACACAAAGTAGAGCTGTGAAAGGCACATTTGGGTACAGGTGCTTTAGTGAAGAGAATGAATGCTTACCTAAGGTAGTATAGCAAAAGATGAAGCTGTTTTTAAAGATACTCTATGTCATTACTGCTGCAGTAATGTTAGTCATTGAATTTTGTGACTGAATATTTAAAACTGATTTAAGTTGTATCCATAATGGAAGTAGATGATAAGTTATATTTGTGCCACTAGATGGTGGAGTTTTCAAATTTTAGTAATTAGCTTACCCAGTATCTTTTAGTATTTTAAATTGTAATCATTTTCCATCAGTAGAGATGGGTAATTTTGTGTCAGTGCTGAAGTTTGCTATTTTTCTAAATTATGTATGGGAGGGGCTGAAGATATCTTACAAAAACTGCAAACCTAGAAAGCAGACATTGTTTTCCTGACGTAATACTGATTGCTAAGCATTCATGAGGTAATTTTGGAGTCATAGTTTAAGTACATTTATTTCATGCAATACTTTCAGAAAAAAGACATTGTGTGCTTGATAAGTGGTAGAAGTCATTTACTGTGTGTAGTCAGTGGCATGGACCGCCCTCATTCCTTTGGCTGTTTCCATCTATCTTTAGAATTTTGTAATCTCATGTTTTACCTTTAGGTAGATGGTATTCCTGTAGCTAATATTAAACTATTTTGATGTATTACCGGAATTTCTGTTTCAGGGAAGGAAGTAGGAGCTAGGTTCAGATTAGAAGCTGAATAAAAGGTTTCCTGCCAAGAAGATAGAAAAGTACTATAGGCAGAAAGAGAGTTAATGCTGGAACAAAAGAGAATTCTTTAGCTTATTTCCATGTCTATGTAAACTGAACATACAGAACAAAATGTGGCCTTTCCTGACAAAGGCAGGTTTTTACAATGAACTTTATGTTATTAGGCTATGTTATAGGTCATGGATGGCCTTTCGGGAGACTGATGTATGTATGGCTCTCTTTACCTAAACAAATGACCCAGATTACTGGGCATTTTAAGTTCCTTTATTTGTTTTTTATTTTTTTTGAGACGGAGTCTCACTCTGTTGCCCAGTTGGAGTGCAGTGCTGTGATCTGCCTCCCTGGTTCAAGCGATTCTCCTGCCTCAGTCACCCGAATAGCTGGGATTACAGGCATGTGCTGCCACGCCTAGCTGATTTTTGTATTTTTGGTAGAGATGGGGTTTCACCATGTTGCCCAGGCTGGTCTTAAACTCCTGACCTCAGGTGATCCACCCACCTCGGCCTCCCAAACTGTTGGGATTACAGGCGTGAGCCACCAGGCCTGTCCTTAAGTTCCTTTAGCCACATTTAACAGCTTTTCACTGCCTTTCCCAACCATTTGTTTTCTATAGTAGTCCTTAGGCCTGGTATGTTGCCTGCCACTCCATTTTAATTTTCTAGGTCTGGGTGCCTATAGGCCAAGAAACCATATTGTCACATTTGTCCAGAAATGAATTTAAAGTAAGAATAAGTGGGTTGTGTAGGATTTGGAGGAGTTACTTGCTATGAATAAAGTATGCTGATTATAACATTCCTTTGGGGGGTTCAAAGTCTTTTTTAAGCTTTTGTATTATCTGCAGAGGTTTTTTAAAAAAATTAATTTCAGTTAGCACATATACAGATTTCATTTTATAAGCAACTATCAGTGGCAAAAGTTGTTAGTGTTGGTAACATGATATAGGGGGAAATGCACTGAAATTTCCAATCAGATGTTTTCTTTTTTTTTTTTTTAACCTGCTTTTTAGAAATCAGAGAATTCAAAATTGAATTAAAATATTATTATTTTTTTTAATTTTATAGCTATGACTTCACACCTATGGATTCTTCTGCAGTTTATGTGTTAAGTAGTATGGCTCGCCAGCGTCGTGCATCTTTGTCTTGTGGAGGACCTGGTGGTCAAGACTTTGCAAGATCTGGATTCAGTAAAAACTGTGGCTCACCTGGATCATCACAGCTCTCTTCCAATTCTTTGTATGCTAAAGCTGTCAAAAACCACAGCTCAGGGACTGTGAGTGCCACTTCTCCTAATAAGTGCAAAAGACCAATGAATGCCTTCATGCTTTTTGCCAAAAAATACAGAGTTGAATATACTCAGATGTATCCAGGGAAAGATAACAGGTAAAAATAGTGATAATTCTGATTACAATAAATGAGTAACACTTCAATACGGTTCATGGTAACTGGAATAGTTAAGTAAACTTATTCTTTAATAGCTTTTATTCAACTCTTAGGTTGACTTTTTTGTTTGTTTTTGAGACGGAGTCTCGCTGTGTCACCCAAGCTGGAGTCCAGTGGTACGATCTCAGCTCACTGCAACCTCCGCCTTCCAGGTTCAAGTGATTATCCTGCCTCAGCCTCTCAAGTAGCTGAGACTACAGGCGCCCACCACCATACCTGGCTAATTTTTTGTATTTTTAGTAGAGACAGGGTTTCACCATGTTGGCCAGGCTGATCTCGAACTCCTGACCTCGTGATCCACCCACCTTGGCCTCCTAAAGTGCCGTGATTACAGGCGTGAGCCACTGTGCCCGGCCAGGTTGACTTTAAAGTAAAAAGTTTAAGTGGAATTTTTAGGGTTATATGTAATTATTTTATAATACATAGACAATTAGGTTATCTACCTTAGTAGTAAGGATCTACCTTTTATTATTTGTGCCATAGCCCAGGCTGCAGTACAGCGGCGCAACTCACTGTAGCCTGTATCTCCCAGGCTCAATCCTCCCACCTCAGCTTCCTGAATGGCTGGGATTACAGGCACATGCCACCACACCCAGTTAATTTTTGTATTTTTTGTAGAGATAGGGTTGTGCCATGTTGCCCAGGCTGGTCTCAAACTCCTGGGTTCAAGCCATCTGCCTGCCTCCCAAAGTGCAAGATCTACCTTTTAAAATCATGTTATTTATCTGTTGGAGGACACGGTTCTAACAATTAACAGTTCTATCTTTATGGAACAGCTTTTCACCTGAGTCAACTATGGATTGTACGGGGAACTGGCAATTTGTAGCAAGCTGCCAGAGTTGTCAAAACGGTGAACTTAAGAGCTGTCCTCAGTAGAAGCTGGAAATAAAAATCAACTCAAGTCCTTCCTACTCTGTTGCCTGTACCCTTACTCATCTCCGAGTCCTCTACTGCTGAATCCCTCTCAAACCAGTCAAGTTCTCCATATATTAATAACGCTGTCTTCTTCCAGTCTTTGTACCCTGAGGATCAAAACTACCATTTGCTTTATCTTGATATCATGAGAAAAGTCATTACTGTGTTACCACAGTAATGAATAGCTTTGTCCTAGTTCCTTTAGACACATAAGTGTGTAATTAGTGAGTCAAGAATTCTAAGAGTCTTTTTTTGTTTGTTTGAGGCGGAGTCTCACTGTCATCCAGGCTGGAGTGTAGTGGCAGGATCTTGGCTCACTGCAACTTCTGCCTTGTGGGTTCAAGCGATTCTCCTGCCTCAGCCACCCGAGTAGCTGGGATTACGGGCATGCGCCACTACACCCAGCTAATTTTTTGCATATTTAGTAGACATGGGGTTTCACTATGTTGGCCAGGCTGGTCTCAAACTCCTGAGCTCAAGTGATCCGCTCACCTTGGCCTCCCAAAATGCTGGGATTACAGGCATGAGCCACGGGCCCAGCGCTAAGAGGCTTTTTAATACTATTGAAATGTTTTAACTCTTGGATCTGTCAGTCATTTGTGTGACTTTTGGCAATTAATCTTTAAGTTGTAATCCATTTCTTCAGTAAAAAGAGTGGGTTTAAGTGTGTTTTTTAAAAAAAGTTAGTTTGGAAGTCTACTTCTGTGACTGACTTTTAGGCTTTAAAGACATTTTAAGAGTAATTTGTACCTTTCCCCTTGCTCAATTTGTTTTTCCTGAGAAAATGACTGGCCTTAGATTTAGTGACAGGTACATGCTGCATTTCTCTTTTTGTACACTTCTGGTATTTAATTATTAAACATATCCTTTGACATCTAGAAACAGGATTCACGTCCCTGTAAGTCTCTTCCCCGCCAGTAGTTGAGAATGTCAGCTGGGATGCATTCTGTATTTATTTCCAATTCTGGGGAACTGGACTATCCTGATTATAAGGGGTGTAAATCTCATTTTATCTTTAGATGTTTTGTTTTCTGATCTTTTTATAGGATCTCTAAATCAGGTTATACCCTTTATTGCTCAAAAATCTTTTTTTTTTTTATGAGATGGAATCTTGCTCTGTCACGCAGGCTGTAGTGCCAGTGGTGTGATCTCGGCTCATTGCAACTGCTGCCTCCTAGGTTGAAGTGATTCTCCTGCCTCAGCCTCTGAGCAGCTTGAACTATAGGCATGCACCACCACACCTGGCTAATTTTTTGTAGTTTTAGTAGAGATGGGGTTTCACCTTGTTGGCTAGGCTGGTCTCGAACTCCTGATCTCAGGTGATCTGCCCACCTCTGCCTCCCAAAGTGCTGGGATTACATATGTGAGCCACCGTGCCCAGCCAAATCTGGTATTTTCTTTGCATTTTAGCATTGCTCCCATGTGATATACTGGTAATCAATCATCTAACATTGAGGGCCATCAGATATCACCTATCTCTAAACTGAATGGGATAAATCATAATTTTGAAATTGGATTCTTCACTGTCTCTAATAAAGCTGCCTTAATTCAATGAATAAATTCTCATTTGGAGGCAAATTCTGAGGGAATGGAGACTAGAACAGGTCAGAGACATGTAGCTCATTTTAAGTTGCTATAAATGTCCATCTGGATGTAACATTCACTGCAGAAATAATCTTTAGATGTGTATATTTTACATTTGTTAGGGAACACAGAGTATAGTCTACAGCATTGTGTACATTTCATTACCTGTCATCTTTTAGCTTAAAATAATAAATGTTTCGCAAGTGCCACCCCCTTCAAAAACATCTCATGTTCTTTCCTACTGTGGATGACTGAGATGGTGTGAATATTTATTGATTTGTTTAAATGTGTCAACCATTATATGGTACCTGTAACCCAAGACTAAAAGTTTTTTTTTTAATGGGTTCTGCAAATGGAATATAAAAATTGGTTATCATTTTATTATTTATTTTTGAGACAGAGTCTCATTCTGTTCCCCAGGCTGGAGTGCAGTGGCGGGATATCGGCTCACTGCAACCTCTGCCTCCCGGGTTCAGGCGATTCTAGTGCCTCAGCCTCCCCAGTAGCTGTGATTACAGGCGTGTGCCATCACACCTGGCAAATAGTAGAGATGGGGTGACGGGGTTTCACCATGTCGGCCAGGCTGGTCTTGAACTCGTGGCCTCAAGTGATCTGCCCGCCTTGGCCTCCAAAAGTGCTGGGATTACAGGCATGAGTCACAACGTCCAGCCCAAAAATTGGTTTATAATTAAGGAAAATGCAGCACAATGTTTAACTGCATTAAGTTATTGGATAAAAAGACAAATACACTTGTAGGAGAGCTTCTGTGGTTTACTGTTCGAAGGCACAAATGCCTGTTGCTTTGGCTTCCATATCAGTCAGTATAAAAATCACTTGATGTGCTTTGTGCAAAATTTCCAGGACCTTATGTTTTATATGGGTGTCATGAAGTGAATGGCTGAAAGCTCTTCATAGAAGGAAGGTGGTTTACATCTGTGTGCCTAGGTGAGACTGTTTTAGTAGGTTTCATAGCAGAGTAACAAACAGGAGAAAACAGCTTCTAATATTTGTCATGATGTAGTCTTATCAGTTTAACTTCTTAGCATTTTGAGTTTATCCAGTTTTCTCAAGTAATAAAAAATACTGTCTAAAGGTTTATTTGGTTTTCTCTTGAGAGAGAAATAGTAAGATATGCATAGTTAATTCTACACTTCCACTATGATTGAATGAGAAAAGACCTTTATCAAAACTATTTGATAGGTTACGGGCACAAATAGATTAGCTTTTAGTACAAGTTGAATACTTCATGCTGCTGATACGGAACAATGGATTATTTGATTCGGGATTTTACTGGAAATGAGCATTATGGCCTTGACCTTTTCCCATCTCTGTGATAGACAAGATTTTCATCTTTTTTAACTTCACATTTTTCTCCTGAAGTAGCAGCACTTGACATGAGATTTATGAAAAATGTGTGCTTTCAGCATTGTGTAAATATTTATTTTACAGAGCCATAAGTGTGATCCTTGGTGACAGGTGGAAGAAAATGAAGAATGAAGAGAGAAGAATGTACACATTAGAAGCAAAGGCTTTGGCTGAAGAACAGAAACGTTTAAATCCTGACTGTTGGAAGAGGAAAAGAACCAATTCAGTATGTTTCAATAAATAGTGTTTAAAATTATCTTGCCTTATCCGTGCAGGTGTACTGGCATGTTGGAGCAGTTGTTACAACCTTTAAGAGGTTGTGTTGATGCTGTCTCTAGCATTTTTATACTTCAAAACCTAATAATGTTATCACATCATCATATAAAGACTGCCTTTCCTCAAGGGTCATTTACTCTCATAGCATGGCAAGTCGAAATCTCAGGCAAACTTCAAAAGAATGTTTGTTCTAAACATTGAGTTGGAAAAATAATTTTGGAATGCAGTGTTTCTAGTTGGGTTGAAAGATAAGCATTATTAATCCATTAATATCACAGTAGAAAATTTCTCTAATAATTTTGGGATTGTCTCAACAGCTTTTTTTCCTTAATTGGTGAGGGACCAATAAGGCTGGAGGTGTTGGGGTATGTTAGCTGTCATTCATGGGGACTTGTGCCATTGGCACAGAATTTCTAGATTGAAAAATTTCAAGGAGGAGAAGAAATAGGCCCAGGAATGGTGGCAAACAAGTCTATATGATAAGCTATCTTGGATAGACTTGTTTCTTATAACTTTTCCATTACTAAACTAGCATCTTTTAGGTTCAGCGTTTTTAGATTAATTGCAAAAAAATTACATGTGATATAGTGGGGTCAATTTGAAGTATCATTGAAAGATGAAGGGAAGATATCAATATTTTTATAGTAGGAGGGCTGGCCAAAGATGTTTTAAATTCATTGTGTACATGTGCCTGTTTCTTAGTAAAATGCAGGTCATATCTGTTTAAATTTTTCACAATTTCTTTAAAAATAGTGGTCAGTCAGTAGTCAGATGAGAGGGTGGCTGAACTGAATTTTGGCAGTTCTTGGTTAATTTAGAATTTCATGTGTTCGGACTTTTCCTGTATCCCTTTTCTGTTCATCCTAGTCAATGTCTTATCATTGCATACATTTTCTGGATGCTTGAGCCATCAGATATCAGCTAGCTTTTTAAAATCACCTTTAAGAAAGCAGTATTTTCTAATAGTAAATTTATAAACATCTTATACATCTTAGCTTTCATATATAGGATTACTATGTATTGATTTGTAAACATTCACTGAGTTTAATTTTATTTCCACAGGGCTCACAACAACATTAAACCAGGATGCTTATGTTCTTAAGTCTATATTTGCATATACATTGACTCTTGATGGAAAGACTTAAGAAGATCAAGGTCTCACCATTTGTCCTCAATTCGTGTGACCATAAGATACTGATAGCATTGAGTCTTGAAATGATTTAATAATATGAGTGAGGATTTGCTTTCTCCATTAGAGCATTAAGCTAAAACTATCAACATTTTAAACCAAATTGCCTTATTTTTCTTCCAAACTTCATATATGTCTATCAGGTAATAATAGGCTTGAAAATTGATATCCTGTGGTGCTAAAGTACAGTAGAAAGAGAGGAGAAGTGTATACATGTTTTATTTTAAATTGTACGAAAGGGGAATTTAAAAAATATGTAACTGCTGTTTATACATTGGCTCCTTACTGCTTATTAATCTGTATTGTACACATGATGAAATGAAGCAGAAGCTGGGAGTCGGCCTTTCCTCTAGTAACCACCACATGGCTCAGCATCTGTGCCAAACATAGGCGCTCCTAGTCTGGTCAGTGCCAAGAGGCTACCAGAACATGGGGCAGGTGGCTGGTGTTGGTGTCCCAGCCTAAGAGCCACCTGCTGCAGTTACCATGGCATGCTGAGTTGATGCACCAGGTGGCAGCAGCCATCCGTTATTATTTCCAATGGAGACCTAGCCCAGGCCAAGGTAAAGTTAGTTAATAGCATTGGGATATAGTCACTGTAATGGTGCTATTAACAAACAGTCAACACCATTGTATTTTTTAACTTCGTGTTCTGTATCTCCTCAGCCATGTATCTTAAATATATTTTGTCATCATAATCTTTATGGTGGGGGCAGACTTTGCACTTACTGCAGTGCAACACTTGCACTTTAATTTTCCTCCAACTGTCTAAAATTAGAGCAAATACATTGGCAATACAGCTGCTTTTGCTCTGAGCTACAATCATGGCTTTTCATGTTACTTACCAAGTGGTGTTTCTGGTTAGGAATCACAGCTGTAAAATTGATTTCAGTTCATCACACTTCTTCATGATGTTGCCCCTAAATTTTGCACACTATATTCTTGTATATTATTTCAAATAAATGGAAAAAAAAGTTGCTTATCTCTGACGTCTACTGATTGATTGATTGATTGATTAATCTTGGCTGAATTTTATTTATGAGTTCTCAGAATAACAGGTTCAGGAGATGAGATGGAAAACATAAGGCAAATTCCTAACACTGCTAATTAGGAGGCTGCTGATAGGATTTTAAAAATTAAAAACAATGTTAATAGTGGAACAAGAGCCATCAGAAAATAAGGACTTAGATTATCTACTATTTATAGAGAATTGCTATACAATAAAAATTTTTATTTTTCACGTGGCATTTTTGTTACACGGTTAAACAGCCCAAAGGTCTGCTTTTAATAACATGACAAAGTGTAACAAAAGCCTTGCTTTATTTAAAGATCCAGTATGACATACTTAAAAAGGCCATTTAACCTTGTATCTTAGCTTGGGATGTGCCAGTGGTTCCTCAACTTTGTTGTCTATTGGAATCATTTTGGGGATTTTTTTTTTTTTTAATAGTGGTGTCTGTCAGGCTCCCACTCCTAGACATGTTAATTAATGTGGAGTGCAAGTTGGGCATCAGGATTTTAAAAAAATCCCCTGGTGATTGGTATGAATGTGCAGCCAAATTTGGAAACCACTGAGCTACATGCTTATTTAGTGAAGAAGGCAGGGTTGGGGGAAGCAGGGTACATGTTATAACTTGATCATATCCCTTTAAAAGAAGTGGGGACTTTGGGTTTATGTACCCATAGGAGGACTTGGTTATGGATGGGAAAGACATTTTAGCCTTGTACAAAAATCTGAAAGAGGAAAACATCTTTCTGGAAAAATCAGGTCCATGGAATTGAAAGGTGGTGATAACTCAACATTTTTTATGCTAAAGTATAAGTGCTAAAGAGGTAAATAAACGTCGATAGGAAATACCGAACAATCAATTACATTCTTAAAATAGTAGATAGTAGCAGTCTTTTGGAGTATGTGTTTAACTGCCAACTATGAATGGGTTAGCACAAAGTGGAGATGAACAAAGATTTCATGTCATTACTGAAGAGCAGACATAGCCTTTTGAAGCAGCTGAACCATTATGGGATAAACTGGTGCAAATTCTTTGCCTTCTCTACTTCTCACTGATTGAACATAAGCTTCCAGGGCTCCCCTGAAAACCAAAATGAAAACAATGTCAAAATATTAGATAAATCACATAAAACAGTTAAGGGGATACCAATATATAAAAATTATTAGTAAGCTCATTTCTGGAACTGTTAATGCTCGGTTTCACAAGCCAAGTGACCAACAGCCTTCACTCAGTTACTGGTAGTGTTACTATGGTTACTACGGTTACTACGTTTAGTGTGAAAAACTATAACCATGTTTTCAGTCTGCATTGTTCTTAGTGGTCTAGTCATATACTCGGAGTCCTCTGGCTGTGTAAATATGTTCTCAATTTCCCTTTTCCCTGCTTCCCTACTGAAGACACCGGCAACGGAATGGGCATTTGTGCCTACTCCCAGAGCTCACGAGGGGCATCCTGCGCCTCTGAAAGGCACGCTCAAGAGTACAAGGGGATGGGGCCCTTTGGCACATTCGGTAACACCAGTAGATGCATTATATTCCTGTTATTTGATGAACTATGAACAACCAACAACTAGAATAAGTGCTCTTGGGCTGTAATGGCAAAATACATGATCGGGAAGCAGTCTGAATTTAATCAAGGGGATGTACCATTCCATTGTTTATGATTATGATCTCATGGATTAGGTTGGGGGTTAGCAAACTGCCTGCAGGCTGAATCTAGCCTGATGCTTGTTCATTTATATATTGTCTGTGGCTGCTTTCACACAATGGCAGAGTTGAATAGTTGAGGCAGAGACCATGTGGCCTGCAAAGTCTGAAATATATCTGGCCCTTCTTTTACAGAAAAAGTTCGTCAGTCCCTGAACCAGATCGTCTGTTTAAGTGGAGCTAAAAAGAATGGCTACGAGATTAATTTTTAATTATTGGTCTATTTAAGTACCAGGTACACAAATACATTTTTGTCATATTTTCTTCAAAATTTCAGTTTGAGATTGGAGCATTTGTATAAAGATGTAAGTTAATACCATTACTCAGCTCACATACGATAGCACTTAAGTGGTTTTCTTTTGCTCTCAAATACTGAAAATACTAATCTAATTGGGTTTGTTCAAGATTTTTCATTGAATTGTGGGGAAAACATTTCCCCAGAGTCTGGCTATCACTGATCAGTTTGTAGTGCCCTTCATCCCACAAGCCACTGTCATACGTAAAGGGATTTCAAATCTCTTAAGTTCCAGCCCTCGACCTCCCCCTCCTGATCTCTGCTTCTTCCTGTCCTCTGGACAGTTTTATCTGACTTGCTTCCAGGTAGCCTCAAACTCATTTGTCAAAAAATTGGGGCAGCGTTCTGCCCGCCTTCCCTTATTTCAACAAAGGGCACCATCAACTTAAGGTCTCTTAGTTCTTTTCCCCTCCTACACCGAAACAATTACCAAATCCTATTAATTTGCTACACACATTTCCACATCCAGTCCCTCCTCTCCCCTTCGCTTCACTTTGAACCCTTGCTATCTTGTGCCCTAATGATTGCTGTAGCCTCTTAAGGTGGTGAGCATCCTACTGCTGTTTCTCCCCTGTTCTGGTCAGTCTTCCATATTATAGCAAGAGATTTCCCCTGAAGTATTACAGCACTTGCCGTGCCCTGTTCTTTATAGGAAATCTGGAAAGGTCTGACTTCTGTATCAACAGCCTTGACTTAGCAGGATCCAGCATTGTGGAATTCCTGAAGGCTGGTTCCATGCTCTGGTCAGTGCCTAGACTCAACCCAACTGAATACCAGCTTCATCATCAAGCTGCTCCCAGCCCTTTCTGTGCTACTGCTGGGTTTTAGATAGCTTGATGTGGCCTAAAAAGACCCTCAAATCATTAGTTTCCATTTTTGTGTTACCAAGTAATGTGCAAAGCATATTTGCCCCATTTGTATGGCCCAACCTGGCTGCCCACCTAGGGAAAGATCAAGGGTGTTTGTTCATACATTGCTATGAAATAAAGCTGTCTCTGCCTAACAAAGTAGGGGGTGCCAAAGGGCCTGTTTATCTTTGGCCATACTGAATGTTTCAGTTAAAGAGCCACATTCTCTTAGCCCTTTGCACATTATCTTCCTTATCCTTAGAATACCCTTCCTTGCTTACTTTCTTGCGCAGCTCTTTATCTCTTAGGACTCGGCTTCAATGCTCCCTTTTAAGGAAAGCCTTTCTTAACTCCAGGCAGCAGGAAAGAATGGAAACCATCTTGGAGTCACACAGGTTTGTGAAACGATCTCACCTCTGTATCAACAGCCTTGACTTAGTAGGATCCGGCACTTTGGAATCCCTGAAGGCTGGCTCCATGCTCTGGTCAGGGCAGGAGTACTTTAAATCAGGTATGCAGGGGGATGGGCAAGCCCTTACTGAAGAAGTGTAGCTGTTTTTTTTTTTTTTTTATTTTTTTGAGACGGAGTCTTGCTCTGTCGCCCAGGCTGGAGTGCAGTGCCGCAATCTTGGCTCACTGCAAGCTCCGCCTCCTGGGTTCACGCCATTCTCCTGCCTCAGCCTCCCGAGTAGCTGGGACTACAGGCGCCCGCCATTGCACCCGGCTAATTTTTTTGTATTTTTAGTAGAGACGGGGTTTCACCGTGTTGGCCAGGATGGTCTCGATCTCTTGACCTCGTGATCCGCCCACCTGGGCTTCCCAAAGTGCTGGGATTACAGGCGTGAGCCAGAAGAAGTGTAGCTGTTTTAAATAACATGTAAGTTCATACCATTACTCAGCTCACATACCCAGTTTCAAGTCCCAGCTAACATACCACTCTCAACTGGCATGCAAGATGGAATTTAGTGCTCTTAGAGAACAATGTTTTGTGAGATGCCTTAGTTAAACCAGAGCTGACCCTGAATGGAGATATTTTTCTATGAAAAAAACTTGCTTCTTTTGGTAATATGCTTCTAGTTGGTATGCCATCCTGGGAAATTGTCTCCACTCCCCAAATGTAGTCCCTACAGAATCATATACAGTAAAGAAATCCCCAAGGGCTCATCTGTCTTTAAGACACCAAGGTGTATGTATCAGCGTATAAGAAGTGTTTAAATTCACAGGAACTACAATCATTTCATAGTGAATGGATTAGATATATTTGATGGACAAAAATCAACTTAGTTTCGTTGGCATTTAAAAGGATAAGACATCACGTAAGTTACACAACATGTAGAAGAGATCAGAAATGAGTTTGGTTAGATTTTTGGGTAGTCATCAAAAACACCATCAGAAGTATGGGGCAAAAAAGATTAAGCTGCCCTCCCACATGAAATTAGAGCAAGATTTTCGAGTACTTATTAAATTACTTCATTTGCTTAAGCAAAACATTAGCTTTCTTGGAAGTCAGGCCAAGTGTTATGTAACAGTTAGTCTTAACTCTGGTTTGTAACCAAAATAAGTAGATTATTGAGGTTATCCTTATTGAGAAAAAAAACACGATTAGTAGAGGAATGGTTTGTGGTAACATGGCAACACTGCTCAACATGACAAAAACTAGCCAAGTGGAAGTTTTCATGGAAAACAACATTGATTTTTGTCAGGCATTTAAATATTCAATGTGATTAGTAAGTACTGAAATGCATAAATGACTTAAAGATACACTACATGCCTCAATAAGCAGTTAAGCCCAGGCTTTTCCCTGGTTCCATCCTCCCTCTTCGTCCTATTTCAGACACTCCATTCACAGAACTGATAGGTAGCTAGTGACATGGTACCAGGAGGAGAAACATTTCCCTCCATCGATGGAGATCTTGGGAGTTCTGCAGAAGTACAGAGGAGCTGAGGGAATGGCTTCCAGATTGTGGACCCTGGACCATGGCAAGAGGGCAAGGGATCCAAGGATGCACATGGCACCAAGCATTCTCTGATGGTGTAGATAAAAGTACCACTAGGCTAATAAGGTCTGTGAACATTTGTGTACTCCTACTCAAAGAGGGCCATAAGAAGAAGAGTTGCTCTCCACGGCAAATATCCAGAGTAAATGGATTTGAGGCCAACCCCACCGCTGTTACAGAGCTTGAGAAATCTTTCCATCAAAGACTCTATCTTTATTGAAAACACATTCAACACTTACCCACAGGCACGAGCCAGGCGGCTGCCTCTGCATCTGAGGGAGCACACGTGTCTGGAGCACCTGCCTGATGCAGGCTGAACACATACAACTGCCCCCATTTACACCACTTGGTCCCATGAGTAAGTTATTACTCTGATTTTCAAATGAACTTGACTAGTATTCATTTAAGCTCCAGAAAGCATCTGGTGTCAGAAGAAAACAGGAAGGCAGGATGGTTCACTATTTCCCATTTATTCAGCAGCAGTAGTTACACTATCCTCAATTTGCCCTATTTTATGACAACCTAACATATTATGCTGGGAGGAACAGAATGAGTATACAACAAGGTTTGCCCCAGAAGCTAAAACAAATTTACTGACATTTAAAGAGCAATACTCACCCTCGGTTTGTCTACAGGGGAAAGAAATTCATCCAGTGATGCTTCAGTATGCAAGAACAAAATTGTTTTGCAATAATACATAAGAAAGAACATTCTCTAGGACAAAAGTCCCCTCCTTGCCAAGAGCCTGGGGTGCAGCAGGAGTACAGTACTTTTTTTGAAACCCTGAAGGACAGCTCAATTTTTTGCTAAGGGCATGAAGGTTCTGGAATCAGCCATGTGTGGAGGGATGGATATGCCTTTTTAAAAAAGCATGACAGTATTTCTGAGCATGATTTTCAGTTGCTAAATATAGGCTTAGCAACAGCACTGCTGATGAAATCACTCAGGAGACATTTTTAAAGAGAAGCAAAAGAAAACAGATTTGTGATGTACACACAGCAGGACAACTGTTTTGGATGAACTCATTCCAACTTGTTAAGACGACAAAAATGACCAACTTGTTAAGATGAGAAAAATGAACGTGTTCAATTAACTGAATCCTCTTTTTAAGACGACTGAGTGTGTTGCAGCTGAGTGAATCTTTGGGACTCGGGAAAAATAATCCACACAGACATTGCAAATCCCTGTGTTAGCCCAGGCCCAAACTCCTCACCCAAATCCAAAGCCTTTCCCGAGGGCAGATTTTACCAGGAACATTCACCGGGGCTGGTAACCTCTCCCATTTCTGTGTCAGATGTTCATAGCTGAGTAACAGATAAGCAAGGAAAAAGAGCAGGGTCCGAGCTAATCTTTATCCACACATACGCCCAGAGGGCCAGTGGCTCATGTGGGATGTGGGTACCAAGCTTGAGGGCTCAGGGTCACTTCTGGAAACAAAGCTGACAGGCTGATGGTTCTTACTGACCTGTCATAGCTTCCTCAGCAGTCTTTCATCCTAACTGAAATATGACCCACTATGGCAGGGGTTCACGCCCTTGGCTGCACCCTGGACCTTCTTGGGGAGCTATAGAGAAATCCTGATAGCAGGCCTACCCTGGAGATTCTGAGGTAGGCAAGGGTGAGAGACCTGGGCACTAGGAATTTTCCAAGCTATGTAAATGATTCTTGTGTGCACATGTGGTTTAGAACCACCTCATCATGTCAGCCCCACTCTGGCTTTAGGGAACTCAACTCATCACCTGACACAGGCTAACAAAGGATCACTGGGTGCAGTGGGCCCAGACCAACAGAATTGGGATCCCCTGGGAGAGTTGAGAATGACTTCAAGAGCTATTTTAGAGACGCAACAGAGTGGGTTTGAGGAATAAGGATGACAGAGGAGTTGAATGATGATGTAAAGGTTTTCCGGCTTGGCTAGTTAGGTGATTGTGACCTCCCAACCAAGACAGGGAGTATAAGAGAATGAGAAGGTTTGAGAGAAAAGATTAGAATTATTTTGACCATTCTGGGGTTGAGATTTCTGTGGGTGGTGACATATGATAGCAAGTTTACTGGGCCAAGGCCCCATCCAGAGGCAGTCACAGACCTGAGGGCTCTTAAGTATAGAAGGGGCACTAGAGGCATGGGTCTGGACAAGCTCACCTGGGAACCAAGGCAGAGGCAGGATGAGAAGAAGAAAATATGGGAAATGATAGCATTTAAGGAATGGCTAGAAGAAGATAATTCAGCAAATGACACACAAAAAAAAATGGCCAGAGAAGTTAGAACAGAAACAGATGGCTGTGGTGTAATGCAAGCTCTGAGAGGACAGGGCCATATCTCGGCTTACTTCGTATCCTCGGTTCCTGGCCCAGGGCCTACCATGCTGATAAAATGTGAGCTCAGCATCAATAAAAATGTGCTGAGTCCCAGTTTATGAGTTTACAGAAGGAAATGGCGGTCAACTGTAGCTAAAGCTACAGAGTGGTAAGGTAAAAATGGGAATGTTTGGTGGCTGAGAGGTCTCTGGTGATGGTGAGAGCAGTTGCAGGGAAGAGTGTTGCTTAATAAGCCATGTATGACAGTTAAAGCACCCCACCCTGGGCATGGTTGGGGTACATGGGGGTGTGTGCACGTGTGGGCAAGAGCACATGCGTATGTATGTGAATGCATTCATGGGGCACTACTGGAGGGCCATGGTATCCAAGTGGCTGCTGGGTTGTTCTTGTTTCCTCCTCAGAACTGTTTCGCACTTGGGTATTTTTAAAAATTCACTCACATCTGTGTTCCACCAATTCAGTAACTGCAGCACATAAAAATGAAGTAAAAGATGCGGAGCTAGGGCAAAACTTTTCATAGCAAATGATGATTTTCAAAGGTACAAATGCATGGTCCTTAGGGTTGCATGGGACACAGGATTGCACATCAGGGATATGAAGGTTTGGAATGAAAGAAAGCAAAAGATGTTGTGGCCAACATTTCCAACTGCTGGTTGCTCCAGCACCCGTGCCTAGGCAGTGAGGTGGCCCGCCACTGGAAGGTGCAGTCACATGTCCATGCCCCCAGGCACTGCTCCTTCATCCTCTCTTGCATCCCCACCCTCCTTGGGCTTCCAGACCAGATGGGTGCCCCCAGAGCACCTGGCTTTACCTGATGAGGAGGAGCCTGTCCTTTTCAGATGGATGGTCATCCAGCCACTGAGAGAAGCGTGTGTGGGACCACTCTGCCCTCTGCAGGGTTGAAACACAATTAGAGAGAGTGCATACGCATTCTTTAGTAAATGGCAGCAAGTGCTGGTTCGAAAAGCACTCTCAAGTATTCCCAAGGTGAAACTGCCCCAAAACCTGTCCAAGGGAAGTGTGAAGGGGGCATAGGCCTTGGTGCACCTTCCTGACTACCAAGGAGCCTTCTAGATTTGCCAATTGATGGTGGGTCAGCAAAGAAAATGGGGCTGCCATCAAAAATTCTTTATGAACACAAATTACTTGTATCATTATTAAAGGTAAATTCTGGATGCATCAGGTAATTTTTTGCACTGCTGAGAAAGAAGACACTGAGCAGTGGGAGTTTTCCTTTTCTAATATCTATTCACTGTCAAAGATAGACATAAGCAACTAAACAAAGCAGCAGAGGGCCAGGAATCATTCAGTGAGTAGGGGCTCAGGATTCACACAGGTAATGGGAAGAGTCACAAAAGGGTTCTGGCTTGACTTTATTTATTACCTGGAAAGGAGATTTCAGTTCAGCGGGTGCTCTCGTGAACAAAAACTGAATAATGATGCTGAACGGAATCACATCCCCCAATGCAGGACTACTGGCTACATGTTCACTTGCCTGGAAGAGCAGAGGTCTAGACGGGAAAAACAGAAGTTATTTCACACTGTTCAATACTGAAATAGGTGATTTGGTGGGAGAATCATTCTCCTTGTAGAATAGCATTTTTCCTAGATTGGCTACTGAAGGAGCCCTCCACTGCTTAACCACTCTATTCAGCCTTGAGACGCCCACAAGCCTCTACCCCCACATGCCCACGTGCTCACAGGCTGATCTACCCTTCAGCTCCCATTTGACCCCCGGTTCATTGGTCTATGAGTCTGACATCCACCGGACTCAGCAAAAGCTCCTTATAAAGTTCATCTAATTACAAGGCTAAAAGCAGATAAAGAACAAGAGTAAAGCCTTCAAGTAGTTGTTATTAACAGATTCTTATCTTCATCAATCCTTTCAGCTTTTATTTAAAATAGAATCCTTCTTTGGACCATAATCAAATGTGGTATATGCAAACATTTTCTACACAACTTTTCAAAAAGGCAAATATGTCTTTGTATATACAAAGTTATTACTTTGCTGAACACTCCATCAAAAATTTATGCTAGCTCCCTTATACTATATTACATGTATGGGTTTCATTGTCCACATTTTACAGAAGGAGCAAGCAGGCAAATCCATTCCACTACAAATTATATACCACCTGGTGCAAAAGGCTGGCAAGAATTATTTGAACTGTTATTGGCTTTGAGCTCTTATGGATGAGAGCTGATTAGAAGCGGAGCTGTGGACATTGAATCCCAAGTAGTAAGATGGCAGCAACATCTCTTGACAGATGAGATAATGATTCTGAACCATGTAAAACGGCACTGTATCCTGGGGTCTTTCTTTACCCCAACTTAATTACTCTAATTATGAATGAAGGCCTGTACAAAATAGAGAAGCGAACTTCTTCCCTATACTAATGATAAGGTCAAGAGTCAAGAATGTTCTCAATAGATAGCTGGTTCTCATTAGATACAGAATTATTATTAGTAAAGATGGCTTTATATTAACTATTCTACAAGTAAAAATCTATCTTTATCAAATAACATTATGTTGTAATTTATTTTCCCTAGCTACTGGGGAAGCATTTCAGTCATTTATGTTGTCTATCACCAGAAAGCCATAAAGCTCCAAACCAGACATTCCATGAGAAGACGACTAAGGTCTTATGGCCACACTGAAAATGTGATGCACCTGCCTTGAAAATCTGCAAGGTCCAAATAATTTCACAGTGTTCAATGCTGCAGAGCTTTAGGTGATAATTCAAGTATCTAAACAAATATGAAAACTTTGCTGAGAATATTTCAGATTTGTTTGTAGGCATCTCTGTAAGTCCTCTGTATGGATGACATTGTCTTCATCTAGGTAAAAGCTCCTAGTTTTAACATAATTCTCATTATCAACAGGATAGCACCTACAGTGTGTCAGGCACAGTTTAAAGCTTTATAGAGGGTGAAGTCAGCAAGATGGTAGAAGAAGAACTTCCCGGCTTCATTGCCCACCCACAGAAAATCCAACTAACAATTATCCACAGACAAGAACATCTTTGTGAAGACACTAAAACTTGGGAATGAGAATGAAAACACCTACATGGAACACAGAACCATATAAAAACTGCATTAGAAGAGTAAGAGGCATGGTTTCACCTTGACCATATCACTCCTCCCACTCCTCCAAGTCAGCACAGAGCCACAGGGGGGATTCTCCTAAGCCCACGTTTTCTACAGAGGAAAAGAGAACTGAAAGTAGAGATCTAGCTTCCCTAGCATTCTGAGTTGCTTTGAAGGAAGCCCATGACTGTCTTGCCTCAAAGGGAATACTGGAGTAACTGCAGGGCAAGATCCCCTGGTGTCAAACAAATCAAGAAGGTGGAGTTTGCAGTGACTGGTGTGCAGATCTGGGTGGTAGCTCTGTGTTGCTGCCAGCAGCGGCACCTGATCAGAGAGATCAGCTAATGATCTACCCTACCTACAAAGCTGAGTCGGCTGCTCCCAGAAGCTGAACAAGAAGTTCAACCTGGCTTGAGTCCCTAGAAAACTAGCCTCTATGCCCAGCCTCAGAGCCCACCCCAAGGCCCTACCCAGGAAAAGAGATGCCCACCACAGTGCATTTTTTGAAGAGAACAGTGGCTAGACTTGCCCAAACCCTGAAATCCAAACAGCAGCGCCAAACAGTGGCTCCACCTAGTGTCAGAGCCCATCCCATGGTCCAGCCCAGGCAAGGACTATGGAGCATAACCTCTGGACTTGTCTAGAACAGTGATCCATCTAAACCTAGAGCCCAGCCTGCCGACCTACCCAACTGCATAACCCAAATAGCAATACTCCCCAACAGGGAAATACACTTTGTGACGCTGCCAGATATTAGAAGCAATCACAGTTCCCAGCCAGCAGCTCCGCCTGATTGCAGTGGCCAGCCAGTAGTCTTGCTGGAAGGTGAAGCTCAGCCAGCAGCCGCATCCAAACTCAGAGCAAAGGCAGAGACCCAGCCAACTAGAGAAACTGACAGCAAGCTCTGCCTCCCTGGGGTTGATATCAGCTGGCTCATCCAGAATCACAGGCTAAAGTAAATAATGAAGTTAAATCTATGCTAAAGAACACCTCTAAAGGATGGAAGAGGTGGCTGTCTCCTCAAATGCACAGACATCAATACAAGGACATGAAGATTATGAAGAACTAGCGGAATAGTGACACCACCAAAAGAAATTAATAAAGCTCTAATAATGGACCCTAAAGAGACGGTCATCTATGGAATGACCAACAAAAAATACACAACAATCCTCTTAAGGAAGTTCAGGAAACTACAAGAATATAAAAATAAAAAGTTAAATGAAATCTGGAACACAATATATGAACAAAATGAGAAATCTGACAGAAAAACAGAAACTATAACAAAAACCAAATAGAAATCCTGGAAATGGAGACAACAACAACTGAACTGAAAAATTAAATAGCAAGTTTTAACTGTAGACTTGTACTAAAAATTCAACCCAAAGAGGAGTTCACCAAGACACATAATAAACTGTCAAAAATAAAAGACAAAAAAATTGAGAGCAGCAAGAAATAAGAAACTTGTTACATACAAAGAACTTGCAATATGGCTACTAGAGGATTCTCAGCAAAAACCCTGCAGGGCAGCATAAAATGAGATGATATATTTAAAGTGCTGCCAACCAAAAAAGCTATCCTTCAGAAATGAGAAAGAAATAAAAACTTTCCCAAGCAACAGCTAATGGAGTTCATCAGCAGTAGGCCTGCCTATTGAAATTGCTAAATGGAGTTCTCTAAGCTGATATAAAAGGCTGCTAATTTAATAAAATATATGAAAACACAAAAATCAATGCTATAAATAATATAGAGTCATACTCAGAAAAACCTAGAAGTGTAATAGTGGTCTGTAAAATAATTTTATCTCTAATACAAGGTTAAAAACTATTAAAATTAGAGCTCAAGGCCAGGCACAGTGACTCATGCCTATAATCCCAGTACTTTCAAAGGCTGAGGTGGGCGGATCACTTTGGGCCAGAAGTTCCAGACCAGCCTGGTCAACATGGCAAAACCCTGTCTTTACCAAAAGTACAAAAATTAGCCAGGCATGGTGGTGTACACCTGTGGTCCCAGCTACTTAGGAGGCTGAATCATGAGAATCGCTTGAACGGGGAGGTGGTGGTTGTAGTGAGCCAAGATGGCACCAATGCACCCCAGCCTGGGTGATAGAGCGAGACTCTGTCTCAAAAAAAAAAAAAAGAAAAAAGAAAACAAAAGTATAGCCCAAATTAGGGATACAAATTACAAAATGATGTATATTTTGACATCAAAATATTAAAATGTGTAGGGAAGGGGAATAAAAATGTAGAGTTGTTGTATGTTATCAAAATTCAGTGTTATCAGCTTGAAATACCCTGTTATGAGTATATGGTTTTTGGAAGCCTCATGGTAAGTACAAAACAACAATCTAGAGTAGAGGCACAAAACATACATAGAAAGAATTCAAAGCATACCACTACAGAAAACAATCAGACCACAAAGGAGGACAGCAAGAGAGGAACAAGGAAACAAAGCATCCACAAAACAATCAGAGAACAAACTACAAACTAGTATTATTGAGTCCTTACCTATCAATAATTATTTTAAGAGCAATAAAATCTCCATTTGTAAAAGAAAAAATGGCTGAATGTATAAAAAATAAGACCCAGCTGGCTGGGTGTGGTGGCTCACGCCTGTAATCCCAGCACTTTGGGAGGCCGTGGTGGGTGGATCACAAGGTCAGGAGATCGAGACCATGCTGTGAATGGGGAAACCCCATCTCTACTAAAAATACAAAAAATTAGCTGGGTGTGGTGGCGGGCACCTGTAGTCCCAGCTACTCGGGAGGCTGAGGCAGGAGAATGGCGTGAACCCGGGAGGCAGAGTTTGCAGTGAGCCAAGATTGTACCACAGCACTTACAGCCTGGGTGACAGAGTGAGACTCCGTCTCAAACAAACAAACAAACAAACAAACCCAGCTATGTGCTGCCTACAAAAGAGTCAACTCACTTCTTTTTTTTTTTTGAGACGGAGTCTTGCTTTGTAGCCCAGGCTGGAATGCCTTGGTTCACTGCAAGCTCTGCCTCCTGGGTTCACGCCATTCCCCTGCCTCAGCCTACGGAGTAGCTGGGACTAGAGGCGCCTGCCACCACACCTGGCTAATTTTTTATATTTTTAGTAGAGATGGGGTTTCACCGTGTTAGCCAGGATGGTCTCGATCTCCTGACCTTGTGATCCACCCACCTCGGCCTCCCAAAGTGCTGGGATTACAGGCATGAGCCACTGCGCCTGGCCCGAGACTCAACTCATTTCTAAGGACACAAAGAATAAAAGTGAAAGTATGAAGAAAGATATTCCATGCAAATGGAAACTGAGAGAGGCAGGACTAGCTATCCCTTTATCAGACAAAATAGACTTAAGCTCAAAGCAATAAAAAAAGGCAAAGAAAGTCATCATGATAAAGGTGTCAATTCATCAAGAGGATATAACAACTGTAAATATATCTGTACCCAACATCAGAGCACCTAAATATGTAAAGCAAATATTAAATAATTTAAAGACAGAAATAACTTACAATGCAGTAATTGTAGGGGACTTCAATACCTCACTTTCAACAACGGCAGATCATCCAGATAGAAAGTTAATAAGGAAACAATGAACTTGAACTACATTTTAGACCAAATGGACCCAACAGACATATACAGCATATTCTATCCAACAGCAAGGGAACAGACGTCTTCTCAAGTGCACACGTATCTTGCTTCAGGATATGTCATATGTTAGGTCGCAAACCAAGTTTGAACAAATTTAGGAGAAATGAAATCATATCAAGTATCTTTTCTAATCAGAATGGTATGAAACTAGACATCAATAATAGGAAAAATCTTTGAAATGCCACAAATATGTGGAAATTAAACAACATGCCCCTCAACAACCAATGGGTCAAAGGAGAAAACAAAAGAGAAATCAAAAAACATCTTGGAACAAATGAAAATGGAAATGCAATATACCAAAACGTATGGGATACAGCAAAAGCAGTTCTAAGAAGGAAATTTATAGCAACAAATACTTAAATAAAAATAAACATCTCAAATAAAGAACCTACTCAAGAAACTACAAGAGAAGAACAAATTTAAGCCCAAAGTTAGCAGAAGGAAAACAATTCAAAGATCAGAGCAGAAATAAATACAGACTAGAAAACCAGGGGAAAAAATCAACAAAACAAAGAGTTTTTTGAAAAGTTAAACAAGATTGACAAACCCTTAACTAGACTAAAAAAGAAAAAGAGAAGACTTAAATCAAATTGGAAATGAAAGAGAAGATATTACAACTGGTACCACTGAAATACAAAGGATAATGAGCGATTACTATGACAAATCATATGGCCACAAATCCAGTAAACTAGAAAAAAATGGATAAAATTCCTAGACACATATAATCTACTAACACTGAATCAAGAAGAAATAGAAAACAGAAATAGAACAAACAGAGAATCTGAGCAGACCAATAATGAGTAAAGAGATTGGATCCATAATAAAAAGTCTCCAATCAAAGAAAAGCCCAGGACCTGATGGCTCCACAGGTGAATTCTATAAAAGGTTTAAAGAAGAGCTAATACCAATCCTTCTCAAACTTGTCCAAAAAAATCAAAAAGGAAGGAATACTTCCAAGCTAGTTTTAGGAGGCCCTGATACTAAAGCCACAAAATGACATAGAAGAAACTTACAGGGCAATATCCTTGATGAACATAGATATGAAGATACAAAATCCTCAACAAACTACTAACAAATCCAATTCTACGGCACATTAAGAGGATTATTCACAATGATCAAATGAGATTTCTCCCTGGGAGAAATGCAAGGATGTGTCAACATATATACATCAATAAATGTGATGCATCGTATCAGCAGAACAAAAGACAAAAACCATATGATCATTTTATTAGATGCGGAAAAAGCATTTGACAAAATTCAACACCCTTTTATAATAAAAACTCTCAACAAATTAACGGCCACATACGATAAGCCTACAGCTAACATTATACTCAATGGTGAAAAGTTGAAAGCTTTTCCTCTAAGATCAGGAACAAGACAAAGATGTCCACTGTCAGCAAGCACTTTTATTCATAATCCTACTGGAGGTCTTTGTCAGAGCAATTAGGCAAGAGAAAGAAAGAAAAGGCACTCAAATAGAAAAGAAAGACATGAAATATTACCTGCTTGCATATGACATTATCTTACATATCCAAAACCAAAAAGATACCACCAAAAGACAGAACTAATAAAGGAATAAGGTCCCAGGATACAAAATTAAGACAAATCTAATCAATAACAATGAATGATCTGAAAAGGAAATCAAGAAAATACCTACATATAATAGCTACAAGAATGTAAAATACTTAGGAATAAATGTACTTAGGAATAAATTTAACCATGGAAGTGAAAGATTTGTACACTAAAAACCGTAAAACATTGATGAAATAAATTGACAAAAAAATAAATGGAAAGCTATTCTGTGTTCACGGACTTGAAGAATTAATATTGTTAAAATGTCCATACTATCCAAACCAATCTTCAGATTCAATGCAATCCCTATGAAAATTCCAATGTCTTTTTCCCCAGAAATAGAAAACATAATCCTAAAATTCATATGGAACCATAAAAATCCCTGATTAGCTAAGGCAATCATAAGTAAAAATAACAAAGCTGGAGGTATCACTACCTAATTTTAAACTATATTACAGAGCTATATAGTAATTAGAATAGCATGGTACTGGCATATAAATAGAAACACTAAGAAATAGAACAGAACATAGAGCCCATAAATGAACCCACACATTTACAGTCAATTGATTTTCAACAAAGGTGCCAAGAAAACACAATGGGAAAAGGACAGCCTCTCCAATAAAGGGTGTTGGGACAACTGGATATCCATCTAAAGAAGAATAATTTGGACCCTTAGGTCATACCATATAAAAAATCAATTCAAAAACGGATAAAAGTCAAGGTGTGGTCTTGAAAGGACTTGAAACTGTAAAAAAAACTAGAAGAAAGAAAACATAGGGGGAAACTTCCATGACACTGGTCTGGGAGGTAACTTTTTGGATTTGATCCCAAAAGCTGAGACAATAAAAGAAAAAATAGACAAATGGGATTACATTAAAGTAAAAAGCTTCTGCACAGCAAAAGAAATAATGAGAATAAAAAGACAACTAATAGATTAGAAGAAAGCCATACATCTGATAAGAAGCTAACATTCAAAATCTATACGGAACACAAAAATGGCAAGAAAACTACCCAATTTAAAAATGTGCAAAAAACCTGAATAGATGTTTCTCAAAAAAAGTCATATAAATGACCAACAGATATATGAAAAAATGCTCAACATCACTAATCATAAGGAAAATGCAAATTAAAACCACAATGAGATATCACCTCATGCCTGTCAGAATGACTATTATTTAAAAAAATGAAAGATTGTGGTGAGAGTGTGGGGGAAAAGGGAACCCTTGTACACTGTTGGTGGGAATGTAAATTAATACAACCATTTTGGAAAACTGTATGGCAGTTCCTCAAAAAACTAAAAATAGAATTACAATATGACTTAGCAACCCCACTTGAGTACATATCCTAAAGACTTGAAATTGGCATGTTGAACAGATAGCGCACTTCATGCTCAATGCAGCATTATTTACGATAGCCAAGTTATGGAATCAATCTAAGTGTCTATCAATGGATGAGTAGATAAAGAAAATATGACATATATACAAAATAGAGTACTATTCAGCCTTCAAAAAGAAGCAAATCCTGTCATTCGACAACACGGATGAGCCTGGAGGACATTACGTTAAGCTAAATAAACCAGACACAGAAACACAAATACCACATGGTCTCACTTATTTGTGGGATCTTAAACAATAGAACTCATAGAGGCAGAGAACAGAATGGTAGTTACCAGAGGCTAAGGGGGGAGGAAATGGGGAGGTTTTAGTTAAAGGGTACAAAGTTACAGTTAGACAGGAGGAAGATGGTTTTTGAAATCTATTGCACAACATGACGACTATAGTTGGTAGGAATGCATAGTACATTTCAAAATTGCTAATAGAATAAATTTCAAATGTTCTTATCATTAAAAATGCTAAGTGTTTGAGGTGATGTTTTAGTTTGAATTAATCATCCCACACGGTACACATATAATATCACTTTGTACCCCATAAGTGTATACAATAAACAAATATATGTTAACTCATTTATTCTTCTAAAAATCCTATGAGTTAGGTACTATTACATCCCCATTTTACAGATGGGTAAACAGAGGCATAGAGAAATCCAGTAAAAGCTAGAAGTGGCAAAGCAAGGATTCAAACCCAGACAGCCTGGCTCTTAATTCTGCAATGCAGCCTCTTTTAGAATATCAGCTGTAGCAACTACTCATCCTATTTCTAGAACAGCTATGCTGATTCACAGAATCAGTATATACAGAAACAAAGACCTCTAGAGAAAGCACAATTTTGAACTGTCAACAACTTGTACAGAAAAACCTATCTGAGAAAACTAATGTGTACAGGATCATCATTTGAAGGTCACACAATTATCACCTCTCTGGGTACTCCAAATTCTATCTTTGGGTCAAAATGGACCTCTAGTCACTTAGCTACTTGAAGCATATAATCACAATCTCTTTCGGAATTATTTTCACATGGTGTGACCTTAAGTTCCTCTGGGGTAATGGGTGGTGTTGTCTTAAAGGCCTCTGGAAACTGACTCTGGGTTGGAATGATGACGAGGCTATGCCTCAGCTCTGCTCTCCATAGACTGGTTACTATTTGTCCCCAACAGAAAAAGCTAAAATATCTTGCAGCCCTATGGTCCCTGGATGCTGAGCAACTGACATTCCCAGACAGCTCCCTAAACTCCAAATCCAGCCCATGATTCTAACCTGCTCATTGTGACGAGGCTGCTCTCGTGTTTGAGCTATTGCAGGGAAAAAGTGTAATAAGAAGTCCCTCCACCGGGTCACAAGTTCATATTGTAGGTCTGGTGTGCCCAGGCCCTGAAAGGGGACTTTGAGGGATGCAAAGGATAGCGGGACTCATGCCTTCTTTTTTTTTTTTTTTTTTTTTTGAGGCAGTCTCGCTTTGTCGCCCAGGCTGGAATGCAGTGGTGCAATCTTGGCTCACTGCAACCTCTGCCTCCCAGGTTCAAGCGATTCTCCTGCCTCAGCTTCCCAAGTAGCTGATGACAGGCGCCTGCCATCACACCCAGCTAATTTTTGTATTTTTAGTAGAGATGGGGGTTTCACGATGTTGGTCAGGCTGGTCTCAAATTCCTGACCTCAAGTGATCTGTGTGCCTTGGCCTCCCAAAGTGCTGGAATTACAGGCATGAGCCACTGCACCTGGCTTCATGCCCTCACTTCTGTCCTGCTGTCCCTGGTTGTCGTGTTCAGCAGTACATTGGTCCTGTGAGTTTTCCCTTTCTCCATTAGAGCCCATTCTTTGCTCATGCCATGTGATAGAGTAGGGTTCATCTTGAACCCTAGTTTACGATGTGAGAAGACCCCAGGGGTGGGGGTGGGGTTCAGCCCTATATGACAGTCCTTGATTGTTAACGAACAGCAGCCATATGGAATCCTATACTACCTCTACAACAGGAAGGTGATCAAGAATTTTGGTCCTCCCATCTCTTAGTACTTCCCGTATGAAGCTCTCTGTATAAAAGTCCTTATAAGTACTTTAGAATTAAGTGCCAAGAAATGCTTAACTTTCTTGGCCAGGTGTGGTGGCTCACACCTGTAATCCCAGCACTTTGGGAGGCCGAGGCAGGCAGATCATGAGGTCAGGAGATTGAGACCATCCTGGCTAACATGGTGAAATCCCATCTTTACTAAAAATACAAAAAAATTAGCCGGGCATGGTAGCGTGTGCCTGTAGTCCCAGCCACTCGGGAGGCTGAGGCAGGAGAATGGCGTGAACCTGGGAGGCAGAGCTTGCAGTGAGCCGGGATCATGCCACTGCACTCCAGCCTGGGTGACAGAGTGAGACTCCGTCTCAAAAAAAAAAAAAAAAAGAGATGCTTAACTTTCTCTTAGGAATTGATACATTTTCTTCCTTCTGATAATGAGAATCAGATAGCTGATTCTGTTTCTCTCTTATCTTTGGCTTCATGAAGTTTAAAGCCAAGTTTGAAACTTATCTATAGCAATTTAAGTTAGTTTTATGGTTCGAATATTTACATTTTTCTTTTTTTCTTCCAATATATTCTTGACGCAAACTGTAAATGATACAAGGAAGGAAAGAAGGGCAGAAGGGGAAGGACAAGGACGGAGACAGACGAGGAGAGGGAAACAACCTGAACAGTACATGCGCATAACAGCATGTCTAGCAGCCCAGCCCACACAGAGGTTTCTGGCTGAGATGCCTGTCTAAGCCAGGCCTGGTAAGAACCAGCTCATTTTAAAATGGAATCTTCTGGGTAATCACCTGTCCCCCCCTTTTTTTTTTTTGAGATGGAGTCTCGCTCTGTCGCCCAGGCTGGAGTGCAATGGCATTATCTCGGCTCACTGCAACCTCTGCCTCCTGGGCTCAAGTGATTCTCCTGCCTCAGCCTTCTGAGGTGGCTTACAGGATTACAGGGGCGCATGGCACTATGCCCAGCTAATTTTTGTATTTTTAGTAGAGACAGGATTTCACTATGCTGGCCAGGCTGGTCTCAAACTCCTAACCTCGTGATCCGCCCACCTCGGCCTTCCAAAGTGCTGGGATTACAGGCGTGAGCCACCACGCCCAGCCTCACCTGTCCCTTTTAACAGGACTGTCAAAAAATCCATGAAAAGCAAAACTAGATTTGACTCTGTATTGTGCATCACTGTCATAATTACCTGTAAACATCAAACAGACATTTTGTTTTGGGTGCTTGTTTTAAGAAGCTGAAAGAACATAGCTTGAGCACTCCCTTCTCCCTGATTCCAGGTGGAATTTTAAACACTAGCAAGTTAAAAAATAAATAACCATCTAAAGTGCTTTATGAAACAAAAAGAAATAAGGTGTTATAAAATGCAGATACACCAAATGCCACAATATCATTCTTAGAGCATAATATTCTAAATATAGCAGCACTTTCAAGGGTGAACTTTACAGGCAGAAGGTAGTGTCAATTTGTCAACTATTAGGTCTCATTAAAAAAAAACTGCATTTCTACTCAGCAAGATTCACATTTAAACGATTCATAGCTATGCAGCTGTCAGTCTTCTGACAGCTTGTTAAGGCCAATCATGAAGTAAAGTAAGGCAAAAATCCTGCTGCTCCTGTGTCCACATCTAACATCAGTGGTATCCTGAGACAGATATAGGCATCATTCTCTTCCATGCCACTTGCCATCACCCCATCTTGACCTCCTCTTGCTGAAGGGCCTGGGAAGGCAGCAAGACCACTAAGTATGCGTACTGAGGTCTGGAAGCAGCACAGAAATGAAAGAGTGGGAGAAGGAACATGATTCCCTTTGTGGGGCAGGGCACAGGTGGCCATGCTCTCTGCACAGGACACAATGAGGGCCTCTGAGAGAGAAGAGAAAGTGTTGGAGGCCTGTAGAAGGTGAGCATTTCTATGGAGATTCTTTAGGGAGGCCTAGTTTGTGGCACGAGGGGCCATGTGGGTCCCAGGAGAGAATGAAGCAGGAGGCTGATTTGGGTTCAAAGTAGAGAGGTTAAAAATGTCCCTGTCTCAGTCTAGATTGTCTATACCAGCAGACCAGGTAGGAAAGGAGGCAGGGATTTGGGCTGACATTCTCTAAGAATAAAAGCATACATTTGGCTGAGTGTTCCTTGTGTACTGTCTGGGAGCCTGAATGCAACAGAAGACAGTGAGATGAGGCATTTCAGCAGCAGGAGGTGGCCACTAAAGTGGGGAGTTTAGATTCTCTTTAAAATTTTCTGATTTTCCTGGATGATACACGTAAGCATTCAAATCCTGTTCCGGGACCATTCAGATAGAAAACAAACAGAAACTTCTGGAATAAGATGTGGGGTATGGTGGTTACAAGCACAGGCTTTGGAATCAGGCAGCCTGGGTCTAAAATGTGACTCCCAGATTCTCCCACTTTGCTGCTGTGGGTTTTAATTGCCTCATGGGGATCATACCTAACTTTTAAGTGCTGTGAGGGCTAAATGAGGAAGTATCAGTAAAACACTCAGCACAGGCTTGGTATAAAATAAATAACCAAATAATAGTTGTCAGAAATTATAAAAATGATGATAAACTAAATATTCAACTCTTCATGTTTACCTGGGTGCGCTTAGCACTGCCAAAGTTGTAGCAAAGAGCAACAAAACAACTAAGTCCAAGATGGTGGTTGCCTTCTGGCTGTAACACTGAAATCTGAAACTTAGAATTAAGAATCCCGAAACCTCAGAGAAACCGTTATTTCAAGGGATGGGTTAAGGGCTCCAGATCCACAAGCGGAAAGAAAAGACAGAATGCATCTGGAGGGTCTTAGTGTTAAAGGTGCTAAAAATGGAAGCTGCAGAGACGGCCTTCTTTCAGTTCTATAAACATTCAGGCACAGAGGTTTGGAATTTCAATCAACAGAGGATCATAAATACAAACTGTAGACCTAGAAAACCCTCATTACTCCTATAATTAAAAACAATTGACAGGAACACTACATTCTAGTTATTGACAGTTTTCTTCTTCCACTGCTCCTCATGCTAAAAGATCCATCAGAACACAGCCCCTATCTCCTGACAGCTTTCACTGCCCTTTCATTAAGCCTAGCTGGAAATGAGCTTCCAGCCGAGAAGACTGTGGACATCATCAGGGACAAGCTGTCCCTTCAGGAGCAAAGGTGGTGAGGCCTGCCTGAAGGCAGGGTCTGTGCCCCTGAGCTGGTGAAGAGCATTTGCTCCCTTTTCTGCCCTTTGCCTCACAAAGATCTATACTGACAATGTCAAGGGTCACAGCTTTGTGGCCTCTGGCCAGGAGAAGCTGAGGTAACAACCTCACAAACACTACTTAGGGAATAATGCCATGCTGCAGAGAGGTGGACAAAGACGGGGTCTCTATAGCTCTGACACGTGGGTCTTGTGTAGAAATACAAATCACCCAGGGGCAAATCACTAATGTCAAAAGCTTTCAGAGGCAGCATTCTCTACTGAGTATGAAAAGATTCCCGCTGCCTGAGAAACTATAATGTAGACAGTAAAATGTAAATATATGCAAGAAGCTTGCTGGCTTACATAAATAGTCCACTAATATCACCATCAAGAAGAAAGTGCCCCCTGGCAGATGGCTGCATGATGGGGGAAGGGAGCACCTACTAAGGCCTGTGTGTGTGTATGTATGAGGGCGTGTGCATGTGTGTACATGCTGGGTGTGGTCTGGACTCAAACTCCAGCTGGCACTGTCATCTTCCATTATGAAGGGACCCCTGAACTGAGCCCATTGCCCTCCCCTGCAGCCACTGCCCCTAATTGGAACTGAGGCCCTCTGTGGCTATTGCAACCTACTGGCTTTTGGCTGTTTGGCTGCCTGTTTTTCTTGTCAACTCACGCCTGCTCTTTATTGGGTAATGTTTTAGTACATTTTTTTATTACTTTTTAGCTCCATGGTTATTTTCAAATGGGAAAAACAATGCAAGAGAGATTTAAAAATAGTATTTGACTTTTCTGACTATAAAAATAAAATAAGGCAGAAAATTTAAAAAAAATAAAAACCCTAAAAAAAACCCCAAGTGACAATCTTAGTCAAAGATATTTTCATGTTTTTCCTTTTTGTCTTTTATTCTCCATTCAAACAAATACTTTTATTCATTTATTTTATATTTTGGGACAGGGTCTCACTCTGTCACCCAGGCTGGAGTGCAATGACCCAATCACAGCTCACTGCATCCTTGACCTCCCTGAGCTCAGGTCCTCCCACCTTAGCCTACCGAGTAGCTGGGACCACAGATGTGCACCACCATGCCTGGCTAATTTTTCTATCTTTTGTAAAGACAGAGTTTTGCCATGTTGCTGAGGCTAGTAGATGCTATTATTTTAAAAATAGTAGAGGTCGGCTGGGCATGGTGGCTCTTGCCTGTAATCCCAACACTTTGGGAGGCCGAGGCAGGCAGATCACCTGAGGTCAGGAGTTTGAGACCAGCCTGGCCAACGTGGTGAAACCCCGTCTCTACTAAAAATACAAAAATTTGCCGGGCATGGTGGCAGGGGCCTGTAATCCCAGCTATTCGGGAGGCTGATGCAGGAGAATCGCTTGAATCTGGGAAGCGGAGGTTGCAGTGAACCATGATCATGCCATTGCACTCCAACCTGGGGGACAAAAGCGAGACATCATCACACACACACAAAAAAACAATAAAAAAAATAGTAGAGGTCATACCATATACTGCTTAGTCACCTGTTTTACCTAGTGATGCACTAGGGAGTATTTTTCATTTTACCAGATATTAACTAATAATATTACTGTTAATGTCTGCATATATTTGATCCTATGAATTTAGCATATTTTATTCAGGCAATCTCCTACTGACTACCATTCAACTGGTTTTGGTTTGATTGAGAGTCTTTGGTGAGGAGACCCATGAACAAGTGCCAAGGTCTAACTTGGATGATGCCTATTCTTTGTCACAGCCCACAGCACAGATGGAAGAAGTGCACATATTAATAAGAGTAAGCTTTTCACTGCAACTGCTCAGGACTCATTTTAAAGAAGAGACAGATCTCTAACAAGATTTTGCAGGTAGGTAAAACAGAGGGCCTATAATTAGGTTATTAGAATAAAGATGGCTCTGTACTGATTTACTCCTCTCTAGGAAGGAATTTGGTAGGACCCGCCACATGGGTAAGCTTTCTCAAGTCAATTCTCTTTACATGACAACTGCAAAGAAGCTGGCAGGGCCAGGGCTTTCCCAACAATGGTGCGGGGCAGAGGCCGCAGCACATGCTCACATCTCTCTTCTTCTCATCTGATAGGACTGAAAACATTCTTTGTAGACCAGGGCTGGATTTGAACCCCTTAATATATTATACTTCTGTTTTATTTCTTGATCCAGTTAATCCTAATCCTACGCTTTTTATAAAATAGTTGTATCAGTCCCATCAAACAACTGAGAAAGCACTAGGATTAATTCAGTAGATTTCTGTAGATTCAATATAAATATAGAAATATAATGGTATATAGAAAAATACCTCTGTTGGAATTTTTCAATTAACTCAAGCTATGAAGGATACTCCATAGGCAAGAAACAATTATTCTTATGTGCCTGAGGCCTTGGGAGCTAAGACGTCATCTGCAGGAGGAACCTCAGAGATACCAGAATCCCAAGAGAAAAGGGTATAAATCTTCACAGTTTGTGGAAAGGAAAAAACTTGGCTCCCTGTCACTAGAGCAACTAAAGTTCAAGAGTTAAGGGCCTCGTGAGAAATCTGAGAAATGGCTGGATGCAGGCCATGAGTGGGTCATTAAACTAATTTAGTGGGTTAAAATAATCAAATGAAATAGAAATGTTAGAGGTTATCACATGAAGTAAGGGTACTTACTATTTCATGAACCATACATATGGGTGTCCATGTATATGTATATAGATTTGAGTGTGTTCATGTGTTTGCATACAAGTATATGCCAAATATCAATAGAAAGTATCTTTTACTGTGGGTCATGGTCAAAAGTTTGAAAACTGTTACGCCATAAGAAGCTAGATATAAAAAAAAAAGTAGAACTATTAAAATTATACATTGATCAAGCGATTCTTGATTCTATAAATAGGTATTAGAAGGTGTCACCCAAACTTTAAATGTTCCTTTAGAGATTCTTTCTCTCATGTGAGAATTGGAAAGGGTTGGCAGAAAATTTCCATCTTAAATGGCTTAAAATAGATGTCTTAAGTGAAACTTATCCTCAGACCTTGTATCTCCATACTATGACACAACTTTAAGAGTGCTTACATGAAGGTCATCCTGCCTCAGCAAACAGGAAACTTAGCACTATTTTTTTTTGGGGCGGGGGGTGTGGGTGGTGGGCGGTAAAGGGTCTCAGTCTGTCACCAAGGCTGCAGTGCAGTGGCACAATCTCGACTCACTGTAACCTCCAGCTCCCGGGTTAAAGTGATTCTCCCACCTCAGCCTTCCAAGTAGCTGGGACTACAGATGTGTGCTGCCATGCCTGGCTAATTTTTGTACTTTTTGGTAGAGATGGGGTTTCACCATGTTGGCCAGGCTGAATTAGCATTATTTTATACATGCACGTGCAATAATGCAATAAACAACTAAACATGGGACTGGGGCTATAAAAAATAATAGCCTAGGCCAGGTGTGGTGGCTTACACCTGCCATACTTGTAATCCCAGCAGTCTGGGGGGCTGAGGCGGGCAGATAGCTTGAGCTCAGAAATTCAAGACCAGGCTGGGCAACATGGTGAAACTTTGTTTCTACAAAAAAATATAAAAATTAGCTGGGCATGGTGGCACACACCTGTAGTCCCAGTTACTCAGGAGGCTGAGGCGGGAGGATCACTTGGGCATGCAAGGTGGAGGTTGCAGTAAGCTGAGATGGAGATCGCACCACTGCACTCTAACCTGGGTGACAGAGTGACACCCGGTCTCAAAAAAAAAAAAAAAAAAAGCCAAATCTTCCTATAGCAATGCTAAATCACAGCTTTTCTCATACCTTTTTCAATAACTAGATGGTTAATATCCTCCAGTATGTTAACTGACTCAGCCAGCCAGGGCAACATTTTATTACCCAGCTAGGATTGCTGTGTTACCATCTTACTCAAGAGTAAATGACTGTACAGGGGTTTTAGTAAAGTAACTTTTATGGTACAAACAGATGACCAATGGATTGGCAACCTCAGGACCTCATCATCCTTCAACTCGCCCATGTTTGGTAGTGCAGAACTCTATAGCTTCAACAAAATACTTAAACAGTTTTAAAAAGATTTGAGCTGATACAAAGAAGGTATCTGAAAGCATTTGTGATCTCACTTTAAGTTTTCCTAAAACTCATCTCTGTACAGATGGGCAGTGATCTTTCATTTGAGAAAAAATAAAATCCAGACTCTTGTGTTGCCATTAAAAAAAAAAAAAGGCCTGTGCTAATTACAAACAGGCGAGGTAAAATATACGGATTCCCTCTCAATCAACAATATTGGATTCTTATATTTCTTATATTCCACCAGAAGTTTCTACTACCAAAGCTTGATGACAGAAGAGAGCAAAGCGATCATTTAAAGGACATACTGCTTATTGATCCTCTAGTTTCCAGTACTGAGTTGGTTTTTAGAAAGCTGCATACCTGTACTCTGTTATCTTATCCTTATTGAGAAATCTTCAACCATTATGCACTTGGATATTATGGACAGTTTATATAAAGGCCTCCCATCTGGTATGCTGTGGTCACAAAATATTATGTTGATCCCCTCAGCCCTTAGGGTTGGCCACCTTTTTAAATGAAAATATCTTCTTCGGCTAGGCGCAGTGGCTCACGCCTGTAATCTCAGCACTTTGGGAGGCCGAGGCAGGCAGATCACGAGGAGAGGAGATCGAGACCATCCTGGCCAACATGGTGAAACACCGTCTATACTAAAAATACAAAAATTAGCTGAGTGTGGTGGCGTGTTCCTGTAATCCCAGCTACTCAGGAGGCAGAGACAGGAGAATCGCTTGAACCCGGGAGGTGGAAGTTGCAGTGAGCCAAGATCGTGCCACTGCACTCCAGCCTGGTGACAGAGCAAGACTCCATCTCAAAAAACAAAATATCTTCTTCTGTTTGTGCTATGATGTAAACAACTTATAAAGTTCTGATTTACTAAATAAACAGCCATATGAATAACATCTCCTTATCTTCTAAAAATCGGCTAGTAAAGACCACAGTCATTACTCAATGTTATTCAACGTTCCTTAAAATCTGAGCTGAAAAAAATCTAAGTGTTCAGCACTGACAAGGACTTTTCTCTCTATTATACTGGTATTCTGTTAGATCATGAATATGAATCAACTCTTGTGTTTCTTTGTAAAGTGATTTCTCCGCTCAGTACTAAATTTTTTGCTCAACTGCATTAGGCTAAGTTACCTATTACATTTATAGTCATTCTCTGCACTTCATCATTGAACTAGATTCTTCTGTTTTTTTTTTGGTTTTTGTTTTTTTTTTTTGTTTTTTTTTTTGAGACAGAGTCTCACTCTGTCGCCAGGCTGGGGTGCACTGGCGTGATCTCGGCTCACTGCAACCTCTGACTCCCTGGTTCAAGCGATTCTCCTGCCTCAGCCTCCCCAGTAGCTGGAACTACAGGTGTGCACCACCATGCCCAGCTAATTTTTGTATTTTTAGTGGAGACAGAGTTTCACCATGTTGGCCAGGATGGTCTTGATCTCCTGACCTCAGATGATCCACCTGCCTCGGCCTCCCAAAGTGCTGGGATTATAGGCATGAGCCACCGTGCTCAGCCATGAACTTGATTCTTTTAATACTTCATTCAATAGTTTTATCATATCCATATCTTGGAATGTAACTTATGACCTGTTAGAAGCAGACTGGGTTAAAAATGATAAATGAACAAATGAACATTTCAGAAAAACTTGTCTATATAATTATGAATTGCCTAGTATTACATTTCTATAAGAATCGGAAGCTAAAAATAAAAAAAAAAATTCTCCCCAAGAAAAGCATAATTTACCAGCTTAATCTTGTGAACTGTGACTAAGAAAATACACATACCCTCTAATTTATTAGTCATTACATAAATATCTATATGGGTTTCTGATTTGAATACTTTCTAAGATGAATCATGAAATTGCCATTGTTGTAGATCAAAAATGGTTGAATATTGGCAATTTTATGAAGTTCAACCTGCACAGAAAGGATTTATTTGCCTGGAGGATATGAATGTATGAACAAAGAATTCGGTCTTACCTGAATGATCTCAGCATCCGATAGGACTTTCCTAAATCAGATACTCGTCTACAGAATGGACCCACAGCCAACTCCATCTGAAATATTAAAATATACTCCATTGTTGTAATGTCAGAATCATTAGGGGAATTTGGGAAAGACCCGGATCACAGAAAGTTGTAGCTTGCAGTAAACTTAATTTTATCTGGACTGTAAGGCAAGTTGTGATGGCCAACTAAATTTATTAAAAGGTAAGCACTTACATAATTTTTGCATTTATTTACTAAGAGGGCCCAAGATGAGACAATTCCTTCATGAAAATAAAAAAAAAACATTTTTTGTTATATAAAAGGAAAAAGTTTATATCATTTATCCATTGAAAAATAAGGAAAAGGAAAATTTTCAAGACTGCATGCCTATACTTTAGGCATTACAAGTCTTTTTACATTCAATATAAATGATGACAATTTTTATCAGTCAGTGTGGCTCAAGTAATTAAAAGGACTAACTCTGGAGCTTTTAGTAGCACATCTATATCAGCATTCCAAATGCTGATACTAGTTACTAGTTTGTGACCCTGGATAAGTTACTTCACCTCTTTAAGTCTCAGGTCTCTCATCTGTAAAATGGAGATAATAATACCTACTTAATAGAATAATGCAAATTAAAAGATAATCCCACAAAGCTTTATGTGCATAGCATATAAGTGCTGTTAATTGTCAGCAATTATTATCAGTGTTTAAAAATTTTTCTCTTTTCAATTATTAATAAATTAATATGCTACCTAACTCAAGAATTTAGCAAATCTTGGTTTCACTTCTCTTTATTTTCCTCCTTTGACTGGAAATTCTACTTGTCATTAATTAGGTTACCTGTTCTTTTCTACCAAGTGCATATGCGAACTTTTTGCATATGTGCTACTCAGGTGATAGACTGCTTCTCCACTCTTGCTATAAATAGCGCCCTGGTAAAGAATGGTTTAGAAAATGGTTGAGAATAGGCTGCTCCCTGATAGTACAGCACCTTTCTTCAAGAAGCACATATGATTTAAGGCTTCTGTCCTGCTGGCCACCCTTACAAAAAATTGCTTAAAATCTCCTTGCCATGGGTACACTATAGAGACCCAATCGATCACTCATTTGAGAAACATTTTGACTGCCTTAGTGCTAGGTACCAAGCTAGATATGAGGATTAGATGATTAGATGATTAGACTATCTTGCCTTCACTAAATTCTCAAATTTAATGAAGGGGATATTTATTTATTAAAACAATATGATTATCAACAAAATCAAAAGTATTTGTGTATATGTCCACATATAAACATATATAAACACACATACATACACACATAATGATTCTTATTAAGCAAAATGATAAGTGCTATGTCAAACTTATGACCTCAGTGTCGAGAGAGTTGGAGAAGCTTCCTTGGGATGGTCTTGAGGATGAACAGTAACCAGGTTAATTTCTCTCATAACATATTAAAGACATGGATTGCATACTGCATGTCCTAGAAGGAAACCTTATATGGCTGGGAAACTATAAAATGAAGAATCATAAATAAATATAAAGATAAAAATGTAAGGAAGAAAAAGGATTCTTGCCAACAATGCAAAACAGAACAGCTGTGAGCCAGTGTGCCCAACTCAAAAGACAGTAGGTGATAGGCTGTTCTTTGGAACCTGTTTCATTTATTCACTGGGTAGGAATTTCTGTTTTCTTTCCATATGTGTCACTTACTTTACACTGAGCACAAAGGAAAAATGTGATTATCACTGTATCTTTGATATAATTCCATTCAAATACCTCTCTCTATATAATGGTTTTTTACATACTGAAATTATATATTTTTCACGAAGTGTTTTTGTCAATTTCTCAACTACTCTAGTGGAATCACTGTCTTCAAAGACAACCTTTGCCTTAGCACTTGAGCAGGACCAAATGTTAAAACAAATAAATGGCTAGGAAAAAGTTACGATATGAGAAAATATGACCTCGAATGGCTGGAAAATGTATGATTATGCAAAAGATTTCTATGCCGCAGGACAATTTCAAAATGTTTAATGTTTAAAATAAAATTTTTTTATCCATAAAGGACCTCTAGGATATTGTAAATCATTTTCTTCTTCCAGAATTCCATTAAACAATAAAGGCCATGTTTTAAAGGGCAAGAGTGTTGTGGTAAGAGGAGGTGACTCTGCCATTAGCAGCGGATACAAAAGTGGCATGTGCAACTGCTTCTCTCCAGCCCCCGTTTGGAGAGAATGAGCGGTCAGCTGCAGGCACGGTGAACTAATTACATAGCTGTTCCTTCCCTACCACAGACATTTGGTTAACCACAGGACTTCTTTGGATACTCCTAGGGTACTCCTGCCCTGACATTGTTCAGGAGAAGAAAAGGCAATAGGAATTAGAACAAAAATTAGAATTTTGATTGTCTTGTTTTCTTTTCTAAATTAATATTTTTAGGCACAAAGTGAAATAGATATAAATGTATGCTTAAAGGGCACCAGAAGACCTATAAATAGAAATTGCTAGAAGTACCACTAAATAATTTAATACCAACTTCAATAGCCACTCTTTCCTTCAGCTAAGAAAATAAACTGAGGGGTGGAGGGGGAGTATGTGCTTCAGAGGACACTGTGGGCAAGATCCCAGTGAGATTCAGAATCAGCAGAACCCCAGTGTCGTGGACAGGCTTAGTGATTTCAGAACTGCTGTGTGATCAGTGTAGGCACTGAGACCATGTGGTCACAGTGGGGAATTAATTACCTGTAGGAAACCACCTCGTGCCCATGACCTGGATTCCTAAGGGGGCTGGATGTCAGGTACTTCCCTCACCATGATCCCTCCAGATGGCACCCTGCAACTACTTTCTCTTTCCTGCACTGGTGCCAGTGAGGAGAAGTTAGGATTCTTAAAGAAATCCTGAAAATACGTCATTATCTCTCTTTGCAATTGGACTTTACGGCAAATAACTAGTATTCCCAAACCTGGTCTATAGGTCCCTTCTTGAGCTCTTTTTGTTATTTATGCTAGAATGGCAGGCACTTTTATCACAAGAACAGTTTTTAAACCCATGGAGTATTTGTGTATTTTTGATTTCAGTGACCTCAATGGCTTTAATTTTGAATATGAATTGATAGAACTTTCAGTAATAAGGCAGTTGAAAAGCCCTCTAGTCCCCAGTTGATGCCTGTCATGAATATAAATGTTAGAGTAATGCTATTTAAATGTTTTGACTGACCCTCGAAAAACACTTTCAACCAAATGTGATGCTAAAAGCTGAGGTACAACAAATAATTGCAATTGTGGCAAGAAACCAAACCAAACGAAATAAAACCTTGAAATTTTAATTTTAATTTAAAAAGTGGGTGGGGGAGACCATGACATAACAGTAGAACAATATTTGCCAAAGATAATGATCACAGATATGATTAATTATGATAGTGCCTCCGCCTGTCTTTTCTGTACCCATGATCCACAGGACTGGAGCCATCCCCAAGGTGAGTGTCAGGATGTTTTGAAACTGGGACACACTGTACAGGGGTGAACAAAGGAATCTGCTTTTCAATACCACACTGCCTGCTGCAACCAAATGTCACTGCAGGGCTTAACAGTGAGTAAATGCTGTGTGTGTAAATGCTTCTTCTATGTTTAAAAAACAGGAAACAAGAGGCCTTTGAGCATAAGTTAGTAATAATGACTGATGAGTTTAATTTACCTTAAGGGAAGGGACCCAGAAAAGTTTGGCTTATTAGACAACATGTCTTAAGAAAAAAGGATGCCAAATAACATTTTGAATAATGCAGTTTTTTGAAAGGTGGAAGCTCACCCCTGCCTCTGGATGCTATGCATTTTGAGCAGGTGTTAGCGGCAGTAGCAAGGGTTAAAGGACAATACTTTCCATCTTTCAGGACCCATAAGGGAACATATTAAAATAAAAAACAAAAACAAGCCTCTCTCCTACAGCACTCTCGTTTTGGCCATCTCCTGCTCGGCTGCCACTCTAATTGGACTTGAAGTGCTGCCTCCAGGAAAGTGACTCAAGAACCAGCTGGAGCAGAATGCAAATAAGCTGGTAGGGGAGAGAGCCCAGGGAAAGAAGATGAAACAAAAAGAAAAACAAAATTAAGGAGGAAAGGGGAAGAGGAGAACAGAGACCATCTGAGTATAGTTCACACTTTTTTTTTTTAAACAAATAAGAGGAGGTTCTAGTACATCATCAGGTTTTTAATAAGCAATCTGGAACCCCAGTAAGGGACAAATAAGACACTATTTACAAATAACTTTCTTTAAGCCAAGTGTACCTGTAAAACAAAGTTAAATGTACAGGTGCCTAAGAATGAAGTTCATAAAATGTAAAAGGTAAAAAGAGCCATATTAATGGTAACGTTTAATCTCTGTTTTTATGCTGTGGCTACTACAAGCATATTTTCCAAATGAAGGCTCATTTCTATGGTCTAATGGTCCCAGGAATATTATTTGGAGATGAAAATGACTAACTGCTGCATCAGTCAATTTGCAATGAAACAGGCTCTTGAAAGTTTAGGTTTGTGTTACCTGTTCCTTTTTTGAAAGTGTGTCAAGTCTGAGGGAGCACCTGACAACCACTGACTTGATACAAGCAGTCTGTCCAGGTCCTTTCCTCCATGTAGAAATAATGAAGCAAGACACACTCCCGGATACACACAAGAATAAATATTGACATTAACATTTATCTTTATAAGTGGGGAGGATCTGGCAAATTGCTATGAAGAATTCATTTCAGTAACTATTTGGACTAGTAAAGCTAACAGCTTTGAAAGGCTTAAAAATGATTTTACCCAGCCAGGTGTGGTGGCTCACGCCTGTAATCCCAACACTTTGGGAGGCCAAGGCGGGTGGATCACAAGGTCAGGAGTTTGAGACCAGCTTGGCCAATACGGTTAAACCCTGTCTGTACTAAAAATACAAAAATTATCCAGGCGTGGTGGCGCGTGCCTGTAGTTCCAGCTACTCGGGAAGCTGAGGCAGAGGAATCACTTGAACCCAGGAGGTGGAGGTTGCAGTGAGCTGAGATTGTGCCACTGCACTCCAACCTGGGCGACAGAGCAAGACTCTGTCTCAAAAAGAAAAAGATTTTACCCTTGGTATGCTATACAAAAATAACAATCATCTTTGTTTCTGAATCTTTTAATGAAAGCATGTTTGGGGTTTTTCTTCATTGCCTACTGAAAGGCTTTAAAAAATCTGTCTAAAGGACAAAGAAAACGCTTTCTATAAGAGCTGATAATGTTTTGCTATTTTAATGTCATTCTATCTCTCACACACATCAGATAGCCTGAAATGATTTCAAGGCTAGCCACAGAGAAGAACTGTACTCTACCTGATAGAGAGAGAACAAATAATCAGACTCTATGTCTACCTGGCCCACTGTGCATTTAAAGGAATGGGAACACTGCCTCGGAATGGTGACATGGCAACAAGCGGTCTCTTTTCACTGTTTGAAATATGATTTCATTGCCTACATTATTGGTCAGCAAGGTTTGACCTATTGGGACAGTAAAATAGTGAGAAAATCCCATATGAAATAAAAATGGGAAGTGCTGCTTTCCTGTGGAATGAGCTATTTCACCTTAACCTTGAAATACCAAAGAGAGGGATAATTATTTTGTTAAATACAAAGAAAAATATATCTGGTATAAAAGTATCTTTAAACTCTCCCTTTTTTTTTTTAACTATTTATGCTTAAGTGGGCTTACTTTTCTTTGTGCTGCAACTCTTTAAAAACACCGATGAAAACACATTCTTTCATTTAATAGATGATATTGAGGCCAAAACATTTTTTCTTTTGTAGTAATTCATCAATGTACCTGTGCAAAATCAGCAGCAAGTCGCATTTTCCCACCTTCACCAAGAGGTCTTATGAGACTGGCATGGCGGATAAAAAGTTCAACAGCTCTTTGGGCAATAGCCTCAGTGTTGTCAAAGACAAAATCCAAGCATTCAAAGTGTTTAAAATAGTCACTCATAACTCTGGCAATGAAACCTTGTAGCTCCTTCATGTACAGAGAACAAGGAACATCAGGTTTTCCTGAGCTGGATAATGACCTGTAAAAGAAAAAGCAGCCCTTTTCAGCACCGCTGCACTAAATCACACTCTTTGATTTTGTACCCCTCTCCCCACCAATGCTGCTATTTCAATCCTTTGTAATGTTTTCCCTTAATGGTATAAAAGACATTAATTACTTTTTGATAAGCGTTAGCAGAAAACAATGTTTAAAAATTACATTTCAAAAAGTGGTTTAGATGCCAGGAGGATTACTGAAGGAATTTTAGAATCCATTTACCTAAAGATTATTAAGAATGAAATAGACAACCATCTGTCTTGGATGAATCATACAAGTGCTACTCTCTGGCCTCTCAAGGTCCCTCCCAGCCTCTCAATTCTCCATCCACTCACATGTTTTGCCTGCTAACTGAATGCATCAATAATGGATCCTGAAATAGCATTTTATGCTTTGCAATGACAGAAAATGCTGCTTTCCCTATACAAATTCTTGGCAAAGATCTCTCTGCTCTTGTGCTATTTAATCAGATCAGTCCAACAGAATTCTGACTGTGGAAATGGTTATGTAACAGTACACATGGCATGCAGTTTTTTCCTCTAGATGATGAGGTTTGGAAAGGCTTTAATTTGGATCAACAAATGATACCAGCTGATGCTCCATGAAATACTATTTATAATTTATAAATGTTTATAATTGCTCTTTAAAGAATATATTAAAAGAATGTGAAATATTTATAGGAAAGAGATATACCAAAACTAGCTAACACCTGATATTTTCTAATAAATGAGATCACTGGCTACATCATGCTGAATCTTTTTCAAAAAGCAAGTTAAGTGTTTCCATATTCTGAGAATGACGTAGAGAAATTGGTGATGGTCTATAGAAGAACAACAGATATGACTAAAATGCTTAGAGCAAGAGAATGAGTTGAACTTAATTATCTTCAAATACAGCAGTGGTTACTATAAATAGGATGCTAACCAGAGGTCCGTCACTTTCAGAAGCAGATAGAGATAGAAGAAGTAGGCCTATGTTCCAGCAGGAAGGGATTTCATACAGGTATAAGACTGTGCCAACAACAGCAAGGCTGCTGAAGGGTGTATGGTGCAACATTTTTGTTTGCAGTATCATCACATGATGGAGTGGCGCTTGGGTACAGGGGAGCCTTAGTAAATGACGGCCATCTTCATGTGGGGTTTGGTTTTCCCAGATTCAGACAACTGCATAGCCTAGCTTTACTCTAGGTTTGTCACTCCACAAGGCCAGGCTGCAAAAACAAACAAATAAAAGAAGCCTCCCTATCCGAAAATGGTGCCAATCTATTTCATTTTTTTAATGTTTATTTTTGATGAATTATAATAATATATAATAAGGGGATACACAGTAATGTTATATGTATACAGTGTGGAATGACTGAATCAAGGTAATCATACTCATCACCTTAAATACTTATCATTTATTCCTCCTAACTGCAACTTTGTACCCTTTGACCAACATCTCTCTATTCCCTCCACCCCATAGCTGCTAACTGCCATTCTACTCTCTGTTTCTATGTATTCGGTTGTTTTAGACAACAGATATGTGAGGTCATGTGGTATTTGTCTTTTGGTGTCTGGCTTACTTCACTTAGCATAATGTTCTGTAGGTTCATCTATTTGTTGCAATTAACAGAATTCCTGTCTTTCTGAAGGCTGGATGGTATTCCATTGTGTATGTATACCACATTTTCTTTATCCATTTATCAATCTAAATGTTGGTGGACATTTAGATTGATTCCATAACTTGGCCATTGTAAGTAATGCTGCAATGAACATGGAAGTGCGTATATCTTTTGACATACTGATTTCAAGTTCTTAGGTTATGTATCCAGAAGTGGGACTGCTGGATCATGTGGTAGTTCTGTTTTTAGTTTTTTGAGAAACGTCCTTACAGTTTTCCATAATGGCTGCCTAATTTACATTCCAACCACAGTATACAAGGGTTCCCTTTTCTGTACATCGTCTTTCACACTCGGTATCTTTCATCTTTTTGATAAGTCAATTCTGACAGGTGTGAGGTGCAATCTCATTGTGGTTTTAATTTGCATTCCCCTGATGATTAGTGATGTTGAATGTTTTTTCACATATCTACTGGCCATTTGTATGTCTTCTTTTGAGAAATGTCTGTTCAGGTCCTTTGCCTATGTTTAAATCAGGTTGTTTTCTTGTTATTGATTTGAGTTCCTTATATATTTTGGACGTTAATCCCCGTATCAGATGTATGGCTTGTAAGTATTTTCCCCAATCCATAGGTTGTCACTCCACTTGTTTTCTTTGCTGTTCAGAAGCTTTTTAGATAAATGTAATCACATTTGTCTATTTTTGCTTTGTAGTCTGAGCTCTTGGGATCAAATCCAAAAAATTATTGCTCAGATTTTCCTGTTTTCTTAAATTTGTTTTAGTTTCAGGTGTTACATTTAAGTTCTTAATCTATTTTCATTTGATTTTCACATATGGTATGAGATAAGGGTCCAATTTCATTCTTCTGCATCTGGATATCCATTTTTACTAATACATATTTATTATTGAAGGAACTGTCCTTATTCCATTGAGTGTTCCTGGCACCTCTGTCGAAAATCAATTGACTATAAATGTGTGAGCTCATTTCTGGGCTCTCTGTTCTGTTTCATTGGTCAATGCCAGCGCACCATGCCATTTTAATCATCATGTAGCTCTGTAATATAGTTTAAAATTAGGTAGTGTGATACCTCTAGCTTTATTTTTGCTCAAGATTGCCTTGGCTATTCAGAGATTTTGGTAGTTCCATATGAATTTTAGGATTACTTTTTTCTATTTCTGTGAAAAATGACATTGGAATTTTGGTAGAGATTGCATTAAATCTGAAGGCTGGTTTGGGTAGTATGGACCTTTTAACAATATTCTTTCAATTCATGAACACAGAATATGTTTCCATTTATTTGTGTTTTTGTTGATTTCTTTCATTGATGTTTTATAGTTTTCAGTGTATAGATATTTTACTTGTTTAAACAAAATGCATTTTGTTTCCATTTTCATTTGTCCCAAGATATTTTTGATTTCTCCTTTGATCCACTGGTTGTTCAGGTGCATGTTGTTTAAGTTCCACATATTTGTGAAATTTCGAAGATTTCTCCTATTATTGATGTCTAGTTTCATACCATTGTCATTAGAAAAGATACTTGATTTCAGCTCCCTTTAATTTGTTCAGACTTGGTTTGTGGCCAAATAGAAGAATTAAACATACGCATAACCAAGAAGTGAATGTTAATCTTCATGCCACTAACCTTTTGTGTGAGTGCTCTCCCTTCCACAAAGGGGCTCATCTATCACTTTAATAATGTAGAGTTCTTCTTTCACTGCCTTCCCTTCCCTACTCAAAACTGTAATCAGATATGAGTCACTTTACATGGACTGCAACAATTTTAATCAATGTTCTATGTCAATCAGATATTTACATTTTAATTTTTGTCTAATTTGGAAAGAAACACGTCAGTCTTTTAAAATAAATTTCAAATACCAAGAAACCATGTTGATGATTACTCTTTACTTATTTATTTATTTATTTGAGACAGGATCTCACTCTGTCACTCAGGCTGGATGGAGTGCAGTGGCTCGATCTTGGCTCACTGCAACCTCTGCCTCCAGGGTTCAAGCGATTCTCCTGACTCAGCCTCCCCAGTAGCTTGGATTATAGCTGCCTGCCACCACCCCGGGCTAATTTTTGTATTTTTAGTAGAGACAGGGTTTCACCATGTTGGCCAGGCTGGTCTCAAACTCCTGACCTCAAGTGATCTGCCTGCCTCGGCCTCCGAAAGTGCTGGGATTACAGGCGTGAGCCACCATGCCCAGCCCATGATTACTCTTTAAATAGCAGGGGAGTCTGTAACCCTACCACATGTAAGTTAGACTTGAAGGTAAACTTTATTCCTTTTACTTAGGAATAGGTGTGGAGGGCTTGAAGGGTCAGGTTTTCACTATTGTTTTTCTAATTGTTATCCCTGGGGGCTGGCCCTAAAATAAAGGCAATTTCTGCTTCTTGACTAATCCAACTCCACCTCATATTTCACATAAGCCATATATATATGAAATGACATGCCATTACAGAATTACTAATCACAAGATTCTACAAAGTAGGAAAATTACTGCCATGGGGGCAATACTTTAAATAAAAGCAGCAGTGCTCCATATGCCTGTACTGCTATATATGAATAACTTTCACTGGAATCTCAACTGACTGCTGTATACATGAATCTCAAATGACTGTTGTATACACTGAGCTGAAATGGAGTCACCAAAGCAACTGGGAAAAAAAATACGGACAATGTTAGGCACCTTAAAATAATGCTTCATACTCATGGCAACCTATCAGTTGAAGAAACAGTTTGGCTCACTAGAATTTAAGCAAATTAGTAAAAACACATCTATTTGGGAACTAACTTTCAGCTGTTAATGTCTAATGTGTTATCTACAGGCACTAGTTGCAGCTCACCAATTAAATTAAAAGTATGTGACCACTGTTATTATAGAATAAGCCTTCAAAAATCAGCTTGTTTTGGCTCCCTTCTGAGAGGCATTCATGATTGATCTAACTGGGACACTTCAGATCACTTTTGAACAAAAACCATTTCCTCTCAAATATTGGTAATCAGCAGTTATATAATCCTATGTTATATTGAGTTCCAAATATAGTTTTTTTTTCGGTAGAATTCACTTTACCCTTCTGTGCTTCATATATATATATATATCTATATCCATCTATCTATCTATATATATATATATTTATTTTTTATTTATTTATTTTTTTTTGATACAGAGTCTCACTCTATCGCCCAGGCTGGAGTGCAGTGGCGCGATCTGGGCTCACTGCAAGCTCCGCCTCCGGGGTTCACGCCTTCTCCCGCCTCAGCCTCCGGAGTAGCTGGGACTACAGGCGCCCGCCACCACGCCTGGCTAATTTTTTTATATTTTTAGTAGAGACGGGGTTTCACCGTGTTAGCCAGGATGGTCTCGATCTCCTGACCTCGTGATCCGCCCGTCTCGGCCTCCCAAAGTGCTGGGATTACAGGCGTGAGCCACCGCGCCCAGCCTGTGCTTCATATATTTTTTAAAATAGAGACTGATCTTTCCTTTTTTTGAAACAGGGTCTTACTTTGTCATCTATCCTGGAGTGCAATGGCATGATTACGGCTCACTGCAGCCTCAATTCCTTCAGGCTGAAACCATCCCCTTGCCTTAGCTCCCCAAAGAGCTGGAACTACCGATGCACACCACGACACCCAGCTAATTTTTGTATTTTTTGTAGAGACAGGGTTTCACCATGCTGCCTAGGCTGGTCCTGAATTCCTGAGCTCAAGCAGTCTGCCCGCCTCAGCCTCTCAAAGTGCTGGAATTACAGGCATAAGCCACTGTGCCCAGCCTAGATTGATCTTTTGACATTTCCCACATTTCCCATGTGGGAGAGGTCAATATGGCCAATTAGAAGCAGCTAGTGTGCAGGGCTCTCATGGAGAGGAACAGACCCCTTCAACTGAAACATCCAGGTACTCAGGGACTAATCAAGGAAACAACCTGACCGACAGAGAATGAAGAAAAGCAAAACAGGACAACGCCTCACCCGGGAGCAACACAGAGCCAGGGGAACCCCCACTGCCCAGAAAAGTGCTTTCACTGGTGGTAACTCCAAGCACTGGAAAATCCGAGTCTACTAGGGACTGGAATGGGCCCCAAGCATACTGCAGCAGCCCTATGGCAAAGTGGCCAGACTGTTACATGGGTACCTGTTCCCATATCTCTTCACCGGGCAGGCCTGGGCCTCCAGCCATCCCCAGCCAGAGCTATCAAGCCAGTAGCAACTCAGCAACTCCAAGAGCAGAGCCTCCAGTGGCAGCTGAGAGCCTCTTTGCCACTGCCCCTGCAATGGAACTGCCCTTGTCACCCCTGGATTAATGAAGGAGCAAAGACCCTAAGTACCTTATCCACACCTCCAACAAGCTGCAGTCAACCCAAGGAGAGGAAACCAGTCTGTCTCCCACAGGTCCCCCTGCCTCTTACCCCACTGCTTGTCACCAGGAGAACCCCTGGCTTGGGCCCACAGCATAGACACTCCTTGCTAGGCCCACAGCTTAGACCCTCCCCCACTGGGCTGACTGCAGTGAGTGAGTGCTAACATGCATCTGTCTGGGGTGGAGCCCCCAGGAGACAAGCAAACGACCCTTGGCCACAGCCACTACTAAGATCCCCTCCTCTGCTGCCTCCGATTTGGGGAAGGAACACTGAGATCACCCTAGAAACCCATCTCATATGTAATGACACTCACAGGCTCAAAATAAAGGGATGGAGGAAAATATACCAAGCAAACGAAAAACAGAAAAAAGCAGAGGTTGCAGTCCTAATTTCAGACAAAACAAATTTCAAACCAGCAAACATCAAAAAAGACAAATAAGGACACTACATAACGGTAAGGGTTCAATTCAACAAGAAGATTTAACAATCTTATATATATATGGACCCAACACAGGAACACCCAGATTCCTAAAGCAAATTCTTAGAGACCTTCAAAGAAGTCTCGGCCTGGGGCGGTGGCTCACGCCTGTAGTCCCAGCACCTTGGGAGGCCGAGACGGGTGGATCACAAGGTCAGAAGATCGAGACCCTCCTGGCTAACACGGTGAAACCCCGTCTCTACTAAACATACAAAAAATTAGCCGGGTGCGGTGGCGGGTGCCTGTAGTCCCAGCTACTCAGGAGGCTGAGGCAGGAGAATGGTGTGAACCCAGGAGGTAGACTTGCAGTGAGCCGAGATCACGCCACTGCACTCCAGCCTAGGGGACAGAGCGAGACTCCATCTCAAAAAAAAAAAAAAAAAAAAAATCTCAAAGACCTTCAAAGACTCCCACACAATAACGGTGGGAGACTTCAGCACTCCAATGACAGTATTAGATAGATCATCAAGGCAGAAAATTAACAAAGACATTCAGGACCTAAATGCAACATTGGACCAAATGCAACTGATAGACCTTTACAGAACTCTCCATCCCAAAACAACAGAATACACATTCTTCTCATCACCACGTCACATACACTAATATTGACCTCATAATTGGACATAAAACAATCCTCAACAAATGTAAAAGAACATCAATCATACCAAACACACTCTCAGACCACAATACAATAAAAACAGAAGTCAAGACTATGAAAATTGCTCAAAACCATGCAATTACATGGAAATTAAACAACTTGCTCCTGAATGACTTTTGGGTAAATACATGAAATTAAGGCAGAAGTCAAGAAGTTCTTTGGGCTGGACGTGGTGGCTCATGCCTGTAATCCCAGCACTTAGGGAGGCTGAGGCAGCTGGATCCCTTGAGGTTAGGAGTTGGAGACCAGCCTGGCCAACATAGCAAAACCCTGTCTCTACTAAAAAAATTACAAAGATTAGCTGGGGTAGGGGTGGTGCGGGCCTGTAATCCCAGCTACTCAGGAGGCTGAGGCAGGAGAATCGCTTGAACCGAGGAGGTGGAGGCAGCAGTGAGCCAAGATCACGCCACTGCACTCCAGCCTGGGCAACACAGCAAGACTCCATCTCAAAAAAACAAAAAGTTCTTTGAAAATAACAAGAACAATGATACAACATATCACAATCTCTGGGACACAGCTAAGGCACTGTTAAGAGGAAAATTCATAGCACTAAATGCTGACATCAAAAAGCCAAAAAATCTCAAATTAACAACCTAACTTTACAACTTAAAGCATTAGAAAAGCATGAACAAATCAACAAAGTTAGCAGAAGATGAGATGTAACAGAAATCAGAGCTGAACTGAGGAAAACAGAGACATGAAAACCATTCAGAAGATCAATGAATCCAGGAGTAGGCTTTTTGAAAAAAATTAATAAAATAGGCCATTAGCTAGACTAATAAAGAAGAGAGAATATCAAATAAACACAATTAGACATGAGGAAGAAAATGTTACTACTGACCCCATAGGAAAAAAAAAATCAGAAACCTCTAAACCCAAAAAGTAGAAAACCTAGAAGAGATGGACACATTCCTGGACACATACACTCTCCCAAGACCCAGCCAGGAGGAAACTGATTCCCTGAACAGACTAATAATGAGTTCCGAGTTTGAATCAGTAATGAATTGCTGACTAACTAAAAAAAGTCTGAGGCCTGATGGATTCACAGCTGAATTTTACCATATGTAAAAAGAAGAGCTAGTACCATTCCTACAGAAACTATTCCAAAAAATGGAGGAAGAGGGGCTCCTCCCCAACCCTCATTCTATGAGGCCAGCATCATCTTGATACCAAAACTTGGCAGAGACACAGCGAAAAAAGAAAACTTCAGGCCAATCGAGTAGGCTTCATCCCCGGGACACGAGATTGGTTCAACATATGCAAATCAGTAAATGTGATTAATCACATCAACAGAGCTAAAGGCAAAAACCACATGATTATCTCAATAGACCCAGAAAAGGCTTCTGATAAAATTTAACACTTCTTCATGTTAAAAATTCTCAATAAATTAGGTATCAAAGGAACATACCTCAAAATAATAAGCACCATCCATGACAAATCCACAGCCAACATTACACTGAATGGGCCAAAGCTGGAAGCAATCCCCTTGAAAACCAGCACAAGACAAGGATGCCCTCTTTCACCACTTCTATTCAACACAGTATTGGAGGTCCTAGCCAGAGCAACCAGGCAAGAGGAAGAAATAAAGAGCATCTAAATAGGAAGAGAAGAAGTTAAGCTACCTCTGTTTGCAGATGACATGATTCTATATCTAGAAAACCCCATAGTCTTGGCCCAAAAGCTCCTTCAGCTGATAAACAACTTCAGCAAAGTTTCAGGATACAAAATCAATGCACAAAAATCACTAGCATTCCTATACATCACCAACAGCCAAACTGAAAGCTAAATCAGAAAGGCAATACCATTCATAATTGTCAAAAAAGAATAAAACATCTAGGAATACAGGTAACCAGGGAGGTAAAAGATCTCTACAATGAGAACTACAAAACACTGCTCAAAGAAATCAGAGAAGACACAAACAAATGGAAGAACATCCCATGCTCATGGATAGGAAGAATCAGTATGATTACAATGGCTATACTGCCCAAAGCAATCTTCAGATTCAATGCTATTCCTATCAAACTACCAATGATATTCTTCACAGAACGAAAAACAAACTATTTTAAAATTCAGATGGGACCAAAAAAGAGCCTGAATAGCCAAGGCAATCCTAAGCTAAAAGAACAAAGCTGGAGACATCACGTTACCTGACTTCAAACTAAACTACAAGGCTACCATAACCAAAACAGAATGGTACTGGTACAAAAACAGGCACATAGACCAATGGAACAGAATAGAAAGCCCAGAAATAAGGTCGCACATCTGTGACCATCTGATCTTCAACAATGCTGACAAAAGCAAGCAGTGGGGAAAAGATTTCCTATTCAAGAAATGGTGCTGGGCTAACTGGCTAGTCATACACAGAAGATTGAAACTGGACCCCTTCCTTACACCATACACAAAAATCAACTCAAGATGGATTAAATACTTACATGCAAAACCCAAAACTATAAAACCCTGGAAGACAACCTAGGCAATACTATCCTGAACAAAGGAATAGGCAAAGATTTCATGACAAAGACATCAGAAGCAATCACAATAAAAGGCAAAATTGCCAAGCGGGATCTAATTAAACCTAAGAGCTTCTGCACAGCAAAAGAAATTATCAACAGAGTAAACAGACAATCTACAAAAAGGGAGAAAATATTTGCAAACTATGCATCTGACAAAGGTCTAAGATCCAGAATCCATAAGGAACTTAAACAAATTCACAAGGGAAAAACAAACAACCCCATTAAAAGGTGGGCAAAAGACATGAACAGACACTTCTCAAAAGAAGACGAAGACATACATGCAGCCAGCAATCACATGAAAAAATGCTCAACACCACTGATCATTAGAGAAATGCAAATCAAAACCGCAATGAGATACCATCTCACACCAGTCAGAATGGCTATCATTAAAAAGACAAAAAAATAAGATGCTGGTGAGGTTGCAGAGAAAAGGGAACACTTATACGCTGTGGTGGGAGTGTAAATTAGTTCAACCATTGTGGAAGGCAGTATGGTGATTCCTCAAAGGGCTAAAAGCAGAACTACCATTTGACCCAGCAATCCCATTACTGGCTATATATCCAGAGGAATATAAATCATTCTACCATAAAAACATATGCATGTGCATGTTCATCGCAGCACTATTCACAATAGCAAAGACATGCAATCAACCTAAATGCCCATCAATGACATAGTGGATAAAGAAATTGTGGTACATATACACCATGGAATACTATGCAGCCATAAAAATAACAAGATCATGTCTTTTGTGGGAACATGGATGGAGCTGGATGCTATTATCCTCAGCAACCTATTGCAGGAACAGAAAACCAAATACTATGTGTTCTCACTTATAAGTGGGATCTAAATAATGAGAACTTACGAACACAAAGAAGGAAACAACAGACACTGGGGTCGACTTGACAGGGGAGGGTGGGAGGAGGGAGAGGAGCAGAAATGATAACTACAGGGTACTGGGCCTAATACCTGGGTGATGAAATAATATGTACAACAAATCTCCATGACACGTGTTTACCTATGTAACAACCCTTCACATGTGCCCCCAAACCTAATATAAAAGTTACAAAAAAATTAAAAAACTTTGTAAATGAAATAATAAGTTGAAAAAGTAGAGGACAGTGAAATAATATTTTTCTATAAATAGCTAAATTCATAGATGGAAATTTCATAAAACAGATATTCTTTAAAACAACAAGAATGTAAAGAGAAACAGGACTGCTCAAAAATAATAACTATGAACTTGGGAATATAAAATACATATCTACATATTAATATTTGAGTATTTAGCTTTAATGTGGTTAAGTTTTTTAAAAATCACAGCAAGCATTTGCAAATAACTATTCCAAATGCTCCAAAGTTTTCTAATACACTGAACCAAAACCATTTTACTCTATTTTAAAAGATTTCTGTAAATATTGGATTAGGAACTATGATTATTATTCTCAGGATACCTATGACATGGATGAGCAAGACACATATGAAACAGGTTTGGAATAACACCATAGTGTTTGTGGCTAGGTGTGATGTGATCAGATTAGATTGTCACATAACCTCCGAGGAAGAAAAATCAATCTTGGAGGAGGTTGGGCTGCAGCTTGCCCAGAGCCAAAGCAGGATTTGGACTAGCACAGTGGCAGAGGCAGGGCATTTTACACAAGGAATACCATGCCTATGCCAAGGGGTAACAAAGGGGCTGAAGTAGAGGGTATTTGTGAGAAGTAAGGAAAAAGACAAGCTTGGGAAGGGGAGATGGTACAAACTACCAAAAGTCCTGAAGTACCAGGCTAAGTCCCACAGACTCATTTTATGTTTCAATAAGAGAGAAATGTATGCACATGTAACGTGATACTGTTCATAAAGAAAAAGTTTTTAAAAAGAGAAGTGATGAAAACGAGAACTGAAAAATTTTAATCTGTGAATGGCGCTCACAATGGGTAATGAAGAGGGCTGAAAACTAATGCCATCACAAAAGGAACAAGGCCCTGGATGGCAGGGGGGCAGCTTAGGGAGTAAGCATAGAGGTGGGAATACAAAATAAAGGCAGTAAAAGTTAGTAAAAATTTGGTTAGAAGTAATTACCCAGAAAAGTCTTCTTGATGCATGGTGATGATTATGGCCTCTATAGCATCTCCCACAGAAGTGAGTAAGGGTTGCACAGCATTTTCCATAAGAGCATGAATAGCCTAAAAAAAAAAAAGAAAGAAAAAAAAGAAGAGGCAAGATTAAAGAAAAACAACCCAAAGAAATTTGAGATGTGAGAAACACCGTGACTAACAGTTTTCATATTATATCAAATGCAGACTAAGTTAACAGAAGTCTGCTCCTCTCCCTAACCACTGTCGGTAATGATTTTTAAAGCTTAAAATATGTGGAACATGGCACTAACAAATTTCAACACCCCCACTCTTCTTATTTTTTCCAAAAGGTTCAGTGGTTAAATAAGCCCATGAAAAAGGGAAGGCATACGCAAGAAGACAGTAGTTCCACTAATGAGGTAAAGGTCAAATGAACACATTTAAGTTTCACAAAAGAGTTAGGCAGGACCAAAAGTAATTATTTAAGAATTGGAACAACATCATATGCTTTTAACCAGAGTGAATATAATAAACAGACATTGATTCTTTTTTTTTAACTATTAGGTTCAAGGGTACATGTGCAGATTTATTATATAGGAGTTTGTTGTGTCATGGGGATTTGTAGTATAGATTATTTCATCACCCAGGCACTAAGCCTAGTACCCAATAGTTATTTTTTTCTGCTCTTTCCCCTGCTCCCACCTTCTACCCGCAAGTAGGCTCCAGAACAATGTTTCTAATAGGGCACAACAGTTGCGCATTTCATGAATTAGGTTTCAGTTGAGAGTTCTACAGCAGTGATTCTCAACTGTGGGCAGTTTTGTTCCCCAGGAAACATTTGGTATTGCTTAAAGACATTTTTCATTGTCACAGTTGGGGATGGGGGTACAAGTGTGTTACTAGCATCTAGTAGGTAGAGGACAAAGATGCTGCTAAACATCTTACGGAATACAGAACAGCCCCTATAACAAAGAATTACCCAGCTCAAAATGTTGATAGTGCCATGGTTGGGAAACTGTTCAACAGGGAGGTATAAATCATCATTTACTTGATGTAAAACCCTAGGTCTTAGTTATGGGCTTTTAGTGTGAAAATAATGACTGAGGCTCAAAACACGTAAAATCAAAAATGTAAATATATTATACACACTTCAAAGATAATATAATGAAGATAGATAGTTTTGGCTCATACAAATGATCAAAATCAATGAGCAAAGGTAAAATATAGGACCCTTAATCATTAAATTCCTAATCTATAACCCTTAATCTCTGGTAAAAATAAATATACAACGTACAGGATTGTGTGTGTGTGTGTGTGTGTGTGTGTGTGTGTGTGTGTGTGTGTGTGTATACATATAGTTTGCCCTCCATACAGGAGCTCAGAGTCTAGTGAGAATAGTTAAAACGTTATGCATGTTGAGTAACCCAAAATCCAAAATCTGAAAGTGTCCAGTGAGCACCTTCCTTTGAGCGTCATGTTGACACTAAAAAAGTTTCGGATTCCCAAGCATAGGAGTTTGGGAAAGCTGAGGCACTTGGGAAACCACAAGACATTCAGTATATATGGAGTATAAGTGCCTGGAAGAGACAGAGGCAGCAAGAGGTGTACTTTGTATAGGTTACTAAGAAGTTAGGAATTTATCCTAAAGGTACCAGGAAACCAATGATGGGTTTTAAGCAATAGACAAAATGTGGTTAATGATTTGGATTTAGGAAAAACCATGTTGGAGAGTAAACTGGACAAATTAGACTACAAAAAGGAGTACAACTATAAGGCCACGGCAGTGGTACAGAGCTGCTGGAGAGTGAGAGAGGGAGCTTGAAAAGGAGAGAGCCAGAGAAGACCGCCTAATTTTATGTTTAAACTCGGCACGAGTCTTCAGCTAACTATCAGTAATGCATGTGCAGAGCAAACTAAATGCGGCTTGCAACTGAGGCTTAAAGAAGTGAACTGACTGAGGTGTGGCCAACTGAAGGTATGACAGTACACAGTTTGAGTATAACCAAGCTAATTGCCTGTAAAGCAAAATCACCAACATGCTTATAAAAAAAGGTAAAAAAAAAAAAATCCTGTTTCTACACAACATAACATTCACAGTGTTCAGGATTTATTCAAAATTACTACACATATAAAATGCTAGGAAATTTTATCAATTCTCAGGGGAAAAGACAATCAAGAGATGCTTAACCCTGAGATGAACCAGACTCTAGAATTATCAGGCAAGAACCTCAATGAGGCAAGGAAAAATATGCACACAATAAATAAAATAATAGGAAATCTCAGTAGAGTGAATGAAAATGTAAAAAAAAAGTTATATTTAAACTTAAAAATTATAGTAGCTGAAATTGTAAAATTGACGGGATAGGCTTCGTAGAAGAATTATACGTAGAGATGACCAAGGAAAGAGTCAATGAACCTGAAGACAGAATTAACAGAAATCTCTCTGGAGAAGAGAAAAAATACTAAAAAATAATTAAACCTAAGAAAAAACTGCAAAATGTCTAATATACTGGTAACTGGAGTCCTGTAAGAAAAGAAAATAATGGGGCAGAGAGAGAATGAGGCAGCAAAACTACTCGGCAGGGAAAAAGGCCTCACGCTAATCAAAATAATGAAAAGCATGAATTTACAGATTCAGGAAAATCAGCAGATCCCAAACAGGATAATTTTGATGAGAACTATGCCTAGGCACATCATAAACTGTTGAAAACCAAAGATAAACAGAAAATCTTGAAACTAGCCAAAAAAAAAAAAAAAAAAAGATTACATACAAGGGAACTAATTTTAATAAGTAATGTCTTCTTATCAGAAAGCATGGAGGCCAGAAAACAGTGGAACATATTTTAAGTGCTAAGAGAAAAACATCTTTCAAACCCATATTTCTATTTTCTGTATAAACATCCTTCAAAGATGAAAGTGAAATACATTTCTGGCAAAAGAAAATTAGGAGTGTTCTTTGCCATCACACTCACATGATAAACTTTAATTTAAGCTCATCAGATTTTAAATGATGATTTAAAATAATCATTAAAAATCATCATTTGGCTGCTCTGCCTATGAAGTATCCATTCTTTTGTTTCTTTTCTTAATAAACTTGCTTTTACTTAAAAAAAGGTAAAACCATCAACATTTAATTCTGTTATCAGAATTAAATTAGAAATCAGTAACAAGATATATGCAGAACCCAAAAGTAATTAGAAATTTTAAGAACACATTTCTAAATAATCCATGACTCAGATAAGAAATCACAAAGGAAATTAGAAAAATATTTCAAACTGAATGAAGATACAAGTATAACACAGAAAAATTGCAGTGCTTAGTGGAAAATTTACAACGTTAAATGTTTATTTGTGGGGAAAATGGTCTAAAATCAATGATGTAAAGTCTCAAGTAAATCTTAAAAAATAGCAAAGAAAACTCACAAATCCAAAGATAAACAGAAAGTATTGAAACTAGCAAAAAGTAGAAAATAAAGAAAGATAAAAGCAGAAATCATTGAAACAGAAAACAGAGAAAACTAGTAAAGTTAAAAGCTGTTTCACTGAAAAAATTAACACAGTTGCTAAACTCCTAGCTAGATTGATCGAGAAAAAAACAGGAAGAGAACACAAATCAACAATATCAAAAATGAAAAAGAGGTTATTCTTATAGGTCCTAAAGACATCAAAAAGATAGTTAAGTGAGCTCAGCACAGTGGTTTATCCCTGTAGTCCCAGCCACTTCAAAGGCTCAAGCAGAAGGATCCCTTGAGCCCAGAAGTTCAAGGCTGTAGCACGCCATAATCGTGCCAGTGAATAGCCACTGCACTCCAGCCTGGGCAGCACAGTGGAACCCTGTCTTTAAACAAACCAACCACAAAAGGATAGTAAGTATTACACAGATTATTCTGACAAATTAGATAACTAAGATGAGTAGACAAATACCTTCAACATCACAAAGTATCAAAGCTCATTCAAGAAGAATAGATAACACAAATAGCCCTTTCTCTATTAAATGAATTAATGTGTAGTTATAAGCCTTTCCACAGAGAAAACTACAGACCCAGATAGCTTCACTGGTGAATTCTACTAAACACTTGAGGAAGAAAAACAAAAACAAAAACAAATTCTACACAAACTCTTCTAGGAAACAGAAGAGGAGGAAACACTTTCAAACTCATTTAGTGAAGCCAGTATTAACTTGCTACCAAAACCAAATAAAGACATAGAAAATTTTATGACAATATACCTTATGAATATAGATGTAAGTAAGCATCCTTAACAAAAATTAAGTAAATCAGTATCCAGGAATACATAAAAGGATACATTAAGTATCCAGGAATACATAAAAAGGGTAATACATCATGACTAAGGTTGGTTTGATATTTGAAAATAAATTACTATAATATACTTCATTAGCAGAATAAAAGAGTAGAGCCATATGATTATTTCAATAGATGCAGAAAAAGCTATTTAATGAAACTTAACACCATTAATAATAAAAAATAGAAAACTAAGAATAGAAGGGAACTTGTTTAGTCTGACAAAGGCCTTCTATCAAAAACCTACAGCTAACATTATTATATCATTAACCTATAGCTAATACTATACTTACAATAGTAAAATACTGAATGCTTTACCCCCAGGTCAGAAACAAGTAAATGAGGTCCATTCTTACCAGTTCTATTCAACACTGTACTGCAGATCCTGGACAGTGAAACAAGGCATGGAAAAACAGGCATAAAGATCAGAAAGTAAGAAATAAAAATCCCTATTTGCATAAGATATGGTGGTTTACATAGAAAACTTTATTGCTGGGTGAGGTTTCCCACTTAGGAAAAATATGAAATAGGAAGAGAAGAGAGCATCTTGGGGAATGCCTTCATTTCAAGGATGGGTAGAAACTAACAACTAACAAGGAAACTGAGAAAGGAGATTAGATTATATTTCCTATGCTCTTTACAAAGCAGGGAAATATGTTATACATTTTAAAAAGATTTACCTAAAATAGTTAAAATTACAAAAATATTGGAGCCTCAGCAATCTGGAATATTCCTTTATATAGAACATCAAACCCACACAAAAAGGGAGAAAGAAGCATTGCCATATATAAATTTGGCAATGTAATCACTATCTGCACAAGACAAATCTCAGTAAAAAATGGATCAGAATTACTGGACCAAGGGGTTTAAATGGTACTTATATAGCTATGGTGGTTATAATGAAATAACTCTAAATGTATACTCAATATTAATTATGTCATTCATAACATATTAGACAATGTTTAGAATATGTGATGATGGAGACTCTGCATCTGCTCTCCACCCAACCCCTGCTCTGCTCGCTCTCCAACTTCACTCCTGCTCCTTTACTCTCACTCACTCTGCTCCAGCCACTCGGGCCTCCTGGCTGTTCTGTGACTATTACAAGCCTGTCCAATTCAGGTCTCTATTCCTGGAACACTTGCCCCAGATGGCTGCTTGGCTCACTCCTTCACTTCCTTCAGATTTTTGCCAAAATGTCTCTTGATTGGAGAGGCCTATATAAAATAGCACTTTCCTTCCATCCCCATTCTCTATCCTTTACTGTGCTCTATTTTTCATCATAGCGCTTATCACCACTGGGCTCCTCACTACAATAAAAGCTCTACATGGGAAAGGACTTTATTTGTGACTTTCACTGTGTATCACTAATACCTGGCATGTGACAGACAATAAATATTTTTGAATAAATGAAAAAAAAGAATACGTAATGATGAACCTCAAGCCTAAAATAACATTTAATTTTGGATAAAATCTCAAGGTAGAGAAGAAAGGACTGTTATATGTCTATATCTATATTTTTCAGTAAGTTAAAAAGTATGTTTAATATCTTCTCTATGAAATAAAATCAAGCAGATTTCTGGGTTGGGCTGCAGGCATTTATACATCGTAACTCTCTACCTTGAATTCAAAGTGACTTATTAAATTTCCAACAATTTTATGAAATTCAACATTCCTTTTTATTCTAAGTCAGGTTTTTTTTTTACTTTTTACTTAATAAGTCATAACAGTTTTTTATAAGACTTAAATAGCAAAGTTAAAACTTTCACTGAGTGTATTAACATGAGCAATGAAGTCTCTAACTGATGAGGCCACTGCAGGAGGGCCTTGTACTTACTGCTAGTCTTCTGTTATCGAGTTCGAAAAGGCAAAATTGGTATGCCTTAGCAAAGTACAGACCCAGCTACACACAGCACTGGTCCTGGTAAGCAAACCTCAGAGTCACGGCTGCAGCCCAAGATTAGGGCAATTTTCCCTGCACTGACTCCAGCTAATATATTAAAAGAATAATCTTTGTTGTCTGTCAAAAATAAAGATTCAGAGAAACTACCCTATACTGAAATACAGTCTATGAGTAATTTCTATTTTTAACTCTCCAAGTGATTTTTATCATCAAAGTGAAGGCACTCTGTCTTAATCCAGAGAATGGACCTTCTGAAACTGTGGGTTGTGTCTGACCATTAGAGGTCAAAAAAATCATTTCAGTGGGTCAGTATCGTAATGTTTTAAAAAGTAATAGACTAGCATAGAAAATATTAGAATGCGTACACAAAATAAGGATAAGTATTACTTTGTGAAACTTCTGTATCAATTATGTGTATAGAAGTACACTTTATGCAATTACATATGTAGGTATATATTTATAAATGCTTATTACGTATGAGGGCACAAAGTAAAATGTACTGATTTTGGGTAGTTATCAAAAAAATGTTTGATAGTTACTGCTAGAAGAAAAAAATGTGGAATTATAGAAGAGTATCCATTCCCGGTCTGGAACCAAGAATGTTAAGACTTTAAGATTTGTCATATTGACCTGATTTTATGATCATTGATACATATGCCAACCTTACTAAAAACAATTATTTTATTATGGAAAAATATTTTAAAGCACATTAGGGGAAAAAGGGATATAGAGAAAACATACAAGTATACTTCTAATACACTGGGGGAAAATAGACTGTCTCCTTCTCTTACCCTCAATGAATCAAATCCATTCATATATGAATTTAGTGTCCTTACATTTTGGTGCCTGTTAAATCCTCATTCCCTGTAAATTCTAAAGCATTTGACTTTAGAAGCTCCCTTCCCCTTTAGGATTTGTGACACAGTATTCTCCTAATTTTCTTCCTTCTTCTGATTGTTCTTTCCTTGTTTGCTCTTTTCTCTAAATATGTGTTTCTCCATAGGATTTACTTGTAGACTTTCATCTCAATTTTAAAACTCTCCCTTAGAGATGTAAATCCAATCTAATAGTTAAAATTTATTACTCTTGTGTAGGCTTATTGTACCATTTTATAGATGCAGAAACTAAGGCAAGAGAGAGCTTATTTACTTGTTTGAGGTCATATAGCTGGTTAAATAGCTGAGATAGGATTCATATACAGGTAGTTTGGCTCCAAAGTCTACGCTTTATGGCCTTAGTTACTTACTCGCCAAGTACTAAATAAATATTTAGCAAATAAAGGAAAGATGGTGGCAAGGTGTAGTAGACATAACTCTTCAGAGTTAATGAGGTCTGCATTTACCAGCGATATGACCTTGAGCAAGATATTATTTCTAAGATATATAAAGTGGGAACACAAATACGTAACTTGAAGGGTTGTAGTAATATTTCAAAATGTGCCTCTCTAGTACTCTTGATAATATGCTTGTTTTTAAAAGAGATACTGTCAACTACATATGGCTCTGAATCTCATACCATTATTGTTTATGCAATTTCCTAAATAATAGAAAGGGGGTATAGTTATGTTTGTATAGAAAAAATGAGAATATATTCTGGTTTTATGCCTCAGTTTAAAGTAGGGTTTCTCAACCTTGGCATTACTGACATTTTGGACTGGGAAATTCTGTTATGAGAGAGGGGTGGGCATTGTCCTATGCATTGCAAGATGTTCAGCAAAATCCTTGGCCTCTACTCACTAGATGCCAGTAGCATCTCTACCATGTCATGACAATCCAGAATGTCTCCAGATGCTGTCAAATGTCACCTGGGGACAAAATGATTCTGCTGGAGAACCACTGCTCTACTGGAATAATACTGGGTTGTACTGCCATTAGATAAATACATGTAAGACTTTTGCTTCTATGTACACAACTGTCATAAGTAGAACACAATCTGTAGACACCAAAAGGGTCTATTTTTAAATTCTAGAAAACATAAACACACTTGTTATCTATTCTCTTTAGGATAATTATCAACATGCTACTTTTGTATATATAGAGGATTCTGAATTATTATAAAATGTGACATTGCCCACTCAGCAAAACAAATAATCCTAAAACCACTTTGATCTATAGAGTCAAAGATTAAATTCTTTTACCTTTAGAGCTGAAATTATAGTTTGCTCAGCTGCCAGTGGGAATGAGCTCTGACTGGAAACAACCTAGAACAAGGTTTTGATCCAGTTATAGTTTCGCTTAAGTCTATTTCTGTAAATACTAATTTTGATCATAGCATAATAAAGCTGTTTCCACAAAGTATATATACAATATTATCATTGCTTTACAGTAATATCTTATACATGATTTTAAAAATCAGTATTTATTAAGATAGGTTGAAAAATAATTTTGTGTATAAAGCAAACACATACTTCAAATAACATTAATAAATACTAAGAGCTAGGTTTCCTTTATTCATGTTACATAGGTTTTAATTATAAAGTTTTAACTTGAAAAGGTCAGAATAAAGCCATATTTACTCATTTCTTTCACTCATGTCTTTAGGCTGACTCTGATTTCCAACAAGTCTTTAAAATAAAAATGTCAGCATTTCAATTTTTACAAATCAATACAAACATCATGAAAATTTTGAAAATATCAATAAAGACATTTAAAGCAGGCTAGATAGAACACAATCTTTCCTTGCTTGTGGTGCTTTGGAGTAATGATTAAAGAAAATGGAAAATACATCATTTAGTGTTTTTTAATAATTTTTACCCTTCTGAGATTTACCTGTTAATAACTCTTTAACATGTATTTTGTTTAATGTGTAAAATACACATTTTTAGAAACCGCTAATTGATAAAAGGACTTGTTAAAATCTTTAAATAAGTGAGTAATAGTCACTTAGAATTATTCTAAAACACAATCTAGTATATTAAAGCTTATACTATAAGTCAAGTTTTCAAGAACATCATTTAACCATTAGCTTTCTTCAGGTCTCCTAAATTATTATCTTCCCATTTATAAAATATTTCAAAAATGACCTATAGAGAATAATTAAGCACAAGCTACTCCAGAGTCACAGATGGACTTGAAAGTGTTGCTTTTTTAGTAATTAACAATACAGTTCACCTTAGACATAATATATGAAGACAAACAAGGTTCAGCCATTTCTTTCAAATTTCTAGTAGAAAAATAGCAAAATGAATACATGTTATCTATGTGTAAGCAGTCATCAGTGATTATATCATAAAAATTCAGTTTTGAATACAGCTCCTCCCTGACTTTTTAATGCAAAGATATTAATAGAACATTTTTGACATGTTGGAGGGCTTCAGCATTCTTATTCTGTCATTAGCTTTGCTATAATTTACTACCATCCACAGTGTATCAAATTACATGTTTCAATAAGTATGAAATATGTATGATCTGTCCTCCAATAATTTGCTCAATAAACTTAATTAACTTGAGGAGCTATAGTTCATGTGTTTTAAACTGAATGTACAAACAAAAAGTCATACAAACAACGAAGGCCAGAGTCAAAGACTGTTTAAAAGAGTTAACTCCTTAGTTTATTTTATAATCATCACATTTTCATTGTATTCTTTTCCAAAGTACTAAATAACAATTTGTAAACTGTCCAAATTTGAGGCAAGAAGAATTTAAAATTAAGTAAAAAAAAACTTAATAAAATAGTTACCTTTGTTACTGATTGGTGCAACTTATACAATGAATTCACTACTGCCACATTTCTTCTCTGTCCTTCAGTAAGAGGCCCAATCACCTGACTTGCATCTCCTTGTGTGGAGAGCTGTAAGAATTCAATTTCAAAAGAATGTGTCAGAATGATAATTCTCTCTCTCTCTCTCTCTCTCTCTCACACACACACATACACACACACACACACATTCTTTAACCGGGGAGAAGTTCATGCCCCTCTGACAAAGAGAATGTTAACTGGAAATATTCAGGTCAACTTAAAGCTTTGGACTTGAGGTAAAACCAGCAATCTGTGTAGAGAAAACACCATGGATGTGGAAGCACAATTGGTCTTGCACGGGAAGAACAGCTCCATTTATACTTCACAGCTGATGGACTCTTGAGGCAGGTGTGACCCAAATGCCCCATGTGTGCTATTATTTTGATATAATAACATAGTAATCCTAAGGAATACCTTCCGGCAACTGCCAGTTGGGCTCTTTCTATTCAAATGCTCAGAAATAAGCCCGCAAAAAAAGGGAGGAGGAAAGGAGAGAAGAGAGAGACGGGAAGGAGGGGGAAAGGGGATGGCTAGACAGAGAAATAAATAAAAATAAACCTAAATCCCATGTATATTTGATAGGCATCCTAATACACTAATGAAATGAATTGTGCAAAGAGGGTATTACTATGATTTTTTATAGATTAAAAAAAAGCCCAAAATTATACTGTGTATAGATGATCAGTAGACGTGGTATTAAAAACTTTCTACACTTGACCTTTAATTTACTTCTAAATTCATGAGTTTTAGGGAAACGGACATGGAATGCTTTATTGAGTTAATCTCTTAACTGTCATGGTTCAAATTTAAGAAAAAAAAAATATCAACCATTCTCATATTGATCAGATTTTAATCCAATCCTTTATAACAATTATTATTTAAAGATAAATTAAACTTGATCAGGACATAGAAAGTATAACCAGGTTAAACAACTCCAATTTATTTTGACTTTCCTCATGGACAAAGATAATCACAATTGCAATCAAGCTGTGTTCTAAGGTGGTGGCCTGAAAATATATTTATTTTCCTGTAGAACTACCTTAAAAAGATAATGCTTAACCACTTAGAAGAGCCCACAAAATCCAACTTAATCAATAATGTGGTGAACTAATACTAACAGAAGCTCTGACCTCCCAAGAGAAAGCAAATGATGGGCTCTGTGCCAAGGTGAGGAGGTGGAGAGGCTCCTGAATAAGGCACTCTGGAAGTGTAAGTGGCCATGGTGAGTGGCATCGGTGGGTATGGCAGACTCGGGGCAGGGGGGGTCAAATGCTAAACATACATCTGACTATAATGGGCATTTAAAAGTTACAAGCTCTAGCTGTACAATTTAAAAAATCCAACCTCTCTTACTTCTCTTGAGATTCTCTTCAATCAATTTTGAAGAACAAAGAAATGGGAAAGGGGAAGAATTTTTATGTTATTTTATTTCAATTTGTTTTGTGTGTTCAGTATTTAATGAGTAGATATGCTTGCTGCTAGAAAAGGGTGGAGATCCTTTATTATTGAGGACTGATCATATTTTGGGGGTTTCAAAGTATAGACAGGTCCAAGTCACACCCAATAGGATGCTATAATGAGGAAGACAGGTAATAACAAATGCTGGCTAGGATGTAGAAAAACTGAACCCTCATACATTGCTGGTGGGAATGTAAAATTGGAGGAGCTGCTTGGAAACAATCTGGTCTTTCCTCAAAGGTAGATACAGAGTGACCATGTGACACAGCAGTTCAACTCCTAGTGATATATATATATATATATGAAATAAAAACATGTTTACACAAAAATCTGTACACAAATATTCATAGCAGCATTTATTCATAATAATAAGAAAATAGACACAATGCAAATGTCAACCAACTGACAAATAAAATGTAGAATATCCACGCAATGGAACATTACTTAGCAACACAAAGAAATAAAGTTCTGATACATACTACAACATAGGTGAATTCTGAAAACATTATTCTATGTGAAAAAACCAACCATAAAAGCCACATATTAAATGGTTACATTTATATGAAATATCCAGATTAGGCAAATCTACATGGGCAAAAGTTGATTGGAAATTGCAGTGGGGCAGTGGGGTATATGAGGAGTGAGTGCTAACTGGTATGAAGTTGCTTATTAGGGTGATGAAATGTTTTAAAATTGACTGTGAATATACTAAAAACCACTGACTTGTACACTTTAATGGGTGAGTTATACGACATGTGAATTATATCTTAATAAAACTGTTTTTTAAGAAAGCATAGAAAAAATCCCAGGATTCCAAGGTTATCGACTGATGCTCTGTGAACCTTGTGAAAATGAAGGTTAAGAGAAGATGACTTAAGTTCAAAAGACCTACAAAGCTACATAAAAAAAATTATAGTTTTGGGTACAAAATATTATTGATATAAAAGAACTAAAAATGAAACGTCATCATGCCAAAAACAAAGAACAAAATAAAAATATCAAAGTGAAAAAATGTAAGTCTCCAAAAGACTGGAGATGTAAATAATCTGCTGCTTATCCTGATTTTACCGCCCAGAATATAATCAGTCCAAGTCCAATAGTTAGCTAAGTGGATGACCTTGTGTTTCTCTCCAACACCACTCTTGTCATAGTTTTTTTGTTTGTTTGTTTTTGTTTTTTTTTTAGGAAATATAGTCTCCCCTCAGTATACAAGGAGGATTGGTTCCAGGACCGTAACACCCACCCGTCACCTAAATCCACGCATATTCAAGTCCCACGGTGGGCCCTGAGGAACCCGCGTACAGGAAAAGTTGGCTCTCTACATATGCAGGTTTTATATCCTGTGAATAGGGTATTTTTGATCTGCCTTTGGTTGAAAAATATCTGTGTATAAGTGGACCTATGCAACTGTAATCTCAAATTTACAGAAAGTTACAAAAATAAAAACAGTACAAGGAATACTGTATGTTCTCTATCTGGATTTACTGATGTTACATTTTATCCTGTTTGCTTTATCATTTGTATTCTCTCTCTCTCTCTCTCTCTCTCAGATACAGGAACGTGCATAATTTGTTTTCTGAATTATACATACATTATGGCCCTTTACCCCTAAATATTTCAATGTGTGTATTTCCTAATAAGAATATTTTCTTACAAAACCACAGTTGTTATCAACTTCACAGATTTACATCGATGAAATATTTTTATCTGGAATCAGCCATGTCTCCAAAGAGTTCTGGTTCCTTTTAGTGGAAAATGGAATTAGAGACAAAGATCTGGGCACTAGGTTTGCTCATTGCTGTTGACCCTGCAATACTTCTTGATTAAATCAATATTCAAATAGATGATCCTTCCAATACAATGGGCTCTCGATTCCTTGTCCTCTTCTCCTTCAACAATCTTACTGTTTACTCCAACTCATTTATCTTCTTCCATGGTCACACTCTATAATCTTGCCATTATAATGACTGAACTCTCTCTCAAATCTGAGTTCAAGTATGCTACTCTCAGGCTGCCATTTCAAATCTTTCCCTTTGATTTTACTTATTTTTAATTTTAATTTCTGTAAGTACACAGTAGGTAGATATATTTATGCTTCTCTTTGATTTTTTTTTTTTTTTTAAAGATAGGCTCTCTGTCACCCAAACTGGAGGACAGTGGCATGTTCTTGGCTCACTGCAACCTTCACCTACTGGGTTCAAGTGATTCTTGTGCCTCAGCCTCCTGGGTAGCTGGGATTACAGTCATGCGTCACCATGCGTGGCTAATTTTTGTATTTTTAGTAGAGATGGGGTTTTGTCATGTTAGCTAGGCTGGTCTTGAACTCCTGGCCTCAAGTGATCCACCTACCTCAGACTCCCAACATGCTGGGATTACAGGCATGAGCCACCGCACCGGCCGTCCCTTTGATTCTAATTCCAATAATTCAGTAACCCCTTGAGACCTCCCAAATGTACCACCTTCTCATGCTATCTCACAGGAGTCCCTGATACCCACTTCTTTATTTCCTTCCTTTCTGGATTAGATTACGTGATTCATTAAAATCAATTTCAGCAGTGAGTGATATCTTCAGCAGTGAGTGGTATCTTGAAAGGAAATGGGATCCAGTGCAACTGTGGAGATACTGGCTTTAAACTGGGGCCTGGAGAGTTCATTAGTTTTCAGAGAGCAAGCGGGGCAGGGTATTAAGAATACATATATTCATGGTCACTTAGGAAAATTCTAGTCCTGGGTGAAACCAAGTCAATGCCTGAGTGTGAGAAGCTGAATGAGCTTCTCACTGGTTGGACTTTAAATCTATGATCACTAAACCAAGGTGGGTTCTTGGCGTTGCCTGTCAATACTGTTAAATATCCCATTCATGCTCCTAAGCCCCTAGGAGATTGTTCCTCACCTTCTCCTCATTTCTCTAATCTCCGACACCTCCTTCCCTCCTCCTTATTCTCAGTTGATGACTTTGCTGTATATTTCCCTGAAAAAATAGAAGCAATCAGAAAACTCCTGTTCCCAGAATGTCTGCCGTCCCTACTGCTTGCTAGCTGAGTGACTTGTAGCTTCAATTTCTTAATCTGTAACACGGAACTAATAATACAGTTTATACCAAAGTATGCTATGTAAACTGTAAAATGCCTTAAAAATGGTAATACCACATATTTCTATCTCCAGACAATTCTATGTCTTATTCAAATTTTCTTTTCACTTTTCCTTTGCTTGGTTCCTTCCCCCAACCTCTAGTCTATCTCAGTACTGGCTAGGGGCCAAAGGAACAGATTAGCATTTAGGAATGAGAACAAAACGCTAGTGAAGCTGCCTGGAGTTACAGAGTAGGTTTTGCTCCATTTGGGTTGTGGTAACAAAGTATCTTGTATAAAGTAGGCACCTCAACTACTTCATAATCCTCCACCCATCTTCAGCCACTTTAACCTTTACTATCTCAAGCCATTTCCTGTAAGCTCCTTAAAATTGCCATCACTAATTCATCTACATGTTCAGCAAGGCATCTCAAAGTAGAAGATGCTTATTACATATGGTTGTTTTTTCAAAGCCTATCTTATTTGAGATGAATAAAATTGTACCAAGGTGCAAAAATACAGCTTTGGCTGTAAAGCACTGAGAATGAGGGAACTAGAAAAGTGGGAGCAATAAGAGATTCAACATTGTAAAATAGGAGAAATGTACATACTGGTTAATCATGTTACACTATTCCAGTACAATCTGGAAAGATGTTAGAAACAAGAAGAGTTGCATTTGAGTTTATTTTTAAAACACACACACAAATACACACACACACGTGCAGACACACACAAGGAATGAGAGGGAATCCAAATGCTAAACAAATCCTTAAATAAAAATTAAAATAATTCTTATGTGCAAATGACAAGATACACTATTTTTTAAAATTTAATTATCTGAACAAAATATTCTTCAGAAATTCTAATTCTGTACATCTGCTCATTAGGAACAGCATGTGAATTCAATGTGTGAGAAACAACTGATGAGACTAGATAATTGAAACAATAAACTACATAGCTATAATAACATGAAGAATGTTTTTATATAACTGTTAATCTGCAGATGAAATGACCAAAATCTCCCTAATCATCATGCCTGAGGACTAAAAGTAAAAGAAATAAAACTGACAATTCAAGGGATGAGTTGGATGACAACTTTAAGTTTCTATTAAGAAAATCTAAGAATTATTTGTGGGGAGTTATAAAGTTGATGGCTCCGAAAAATGTCTAAAAAGAACAAAATAATATATTATAGATTACTTATAAATTACAAAAGGGTAAGTAAGTTACTTTCCAGATACTATGGAAACACTTCTAGTGGTCTATTTATGCCCACTCCCATGCATATAGAAGACATCAATAATCAATTGTGGCCCTGTTATGGTCTCTCAACATTGCACTCCAGGCAGTGACTACAAATCTCTAAGACTTGACCCAGGGCATAAAATCTATTAGCAATTCCCGATCTACATCACATCAGTTTTTTAGATATACAGTTCAATGATCCTCTAGTCACGAGATACTAAGGAGCAATATATTCCAAGAGCCTCAAAATTGCCATACCCTTATGTATGTAAGAAATATATTGTAAAAAAATTCCAGACAATGGAGCAGGCCACGGTGGCTCATACCTGTAATCCTAGCCCTTTGGAGACTGAGGCAGGAGGATCGCTTGAGCCCAGGAGTTTGAGACCAGCCTGGGTAACATGGCAAAACCCCATCTCTACAAAAAATACAAAAATTAGCCAGGTGTGGTGGTACGCGCCTGTAGGTCCCAGCTACTTGCGAGGCTAAGGTGTGAGGATGGTGTGAGCCCAAGAGGTGGAGATTGCAGTGAGTTAAGATCACACCACTGTACTCCAGCCCGAGCGACAGATCCAGATCCTGTCTCAAAACAACAACAAAAACCAAAAACGAACCCCAGAAAATGGATCATAAGAAAATAATAGAGAAAAGTTTATACACAAAGATTATATTTATAAAACTGAGAAATCATAAAACCCTACATGTCTAAGAATAAGGGAATGGTTGGGTCTATTAGGCAATTCACATGATGGAACAAACAATGAAAGGAGCTAAAGTGACACTGTGAACTGTAAAAAAAGAAAGCAGATATGTCTATGCAGCAGTTTGCTTTCACAAAAAGACTGGAAAAAAAAAGCAAAAATGTAAAGAAATAGTATGAAGCATTACATAAAGAGGAAGATTAGTAAAACACTAGTAAAAGGCACTGTGGAATTCCATAAAGTATCTAAAAGGTTTACTTGTAGAATATACTTAGAAATTGTTATACAATATAATTTCATAAATTATAAACATTAAAAGGATGCAATCTCTATCTCTGAAAGATTTAAGATAATACGACAAGATAAACTGCTTTGGTTATTGTTTACTTGACCAAAGGAAGGATTTGGGAAAAGATAATCTCATCAAGGTACTTTTTAATCTACCGATCTGTGACACAGACAAAAATAATTAATTTTTATTTTATTTTTTGAGGCAGGGTCTCCCTCTGTCACGCAGGCTGAAGTGCAGTGGCATGATCATGATTCACTGCAGCCTCGACCTCCTGATCAAGTGATCCTCCCATCTCAGCTTCCCGAGTAGCTGGGACCACAGGCATATACCACCATGGCCAGCTAATTTTTAAATTTTCTGTAGAGACAGGGTCCACTTTTTGCCCTCACTGGTCTCAAACTCTTGGGCTCAAGAAGTCACCTTTGGGATCTTCCAAAGATTACAGGTGTGAGCCACTGCACTCAGCCTTAATTTTTATTCATGTTTATTTTTCAAATGCTTTTATCATAGATTACCTGGTTCAGATTAAGGAATGTAAGACTTATGATTAAATATCACTTAGTTTATTATAACTTGTCAATTATCCTATAAAAATGTAAAATTATATGTTTAAATATGTATGTGCTCACAATTAAATTATCAAAGATCCTTCAGGCTAAATATAGTTTGTATAGGCTGGGCATGGTGGCTCACGCCTGTAATCCCAGCACTTTAGGAGGCTGAAGTGGGAGGATCGCTTGAGCTCAGAAGTTTGAGACCAACCTGAGCAACATAGTGAGACCCTGTCTCTACAAAAAATGAAAAAATTAGCTGGGCATAGTGGTTCTTGCCTATGGTCCCAGGTCCTCAGGAGGCTGAGGCAGGATTTTTTGACCCCAGGAGGTCAAGGCTGCAGTGAGCTGTGACTGTATCACTGCACTCCAGCCTGGGTGACAGACCCTGTCTCCAAATAATAATAACAACAATAATAATAATAATACACACACACGTGTGTGTGAGAGAGTTTGTAATACATTAGAAATTATACTTTATGTGGAATCCAGGGTTAGGGTATGTTTTTGAAAATGTATAATAAAGGACAAATCTGTAGGTTTACACAGGAATTTGTCACTTTCCCAGCACATCAATCTAACTAAATTTTGATAATAAATGAAACTAATTTTCTTGAGTGCTAAAACTATCAGAAAATATTTTCAAGAAAATATTCTCACAGCGTATGCCATACTTTTCTGGTTTCATAAATAAGATACACAGAACATGTACCTGAAGAAGGCAAATTCTACTTAGGTTAACCATTGTAAATGTTCACAAGTGTTTGAGCAGTGTTTTTATGCTGTTACATCTCTTCTCTGCTTTTAGTGACTTCATCCAAGCTTAGCAGGGTATATATAGCTGCATTCCCCTTCATTCATTAAACAAACTTAGATTACTACCTCTTTTGATATTTGGTGTTTCCTATTCTTCTTTAAATTTTGGTGATTTTACGAGTCCTTCCTAGGTTGTAAACTTTCTTGTTTAATAACTCGTAGGAATACGAGTTATTCCTAGGGTGTAAACTTTCTCTTTTTTGATCTTTTTTTGATACTCTTCCCTCATCTTGGTCTAACTTGCTTTGAAGTGGGAAACCAGAGGACTAACCATGTTAAAGCCGGGAGACTTTCCTATGAGTTATGTGTGTGTGCTTTAGTATATGGACACTGTAACATCAATCTAGCAGTTCAGAGAATGATTTCATTGCCTTCTTCATTCTTAGTTATCTCCTGGACTGTTAAATTTATCAAATATTTGACAATTTTAAAAAGAGGTTTTTTACTAGCTATTTACAAAATAAAGACAGGTATAATTGAACCACAGAACAGACTCAATGGTAATGTTGTATCTTAACATCAGGCTAAATCTTCACACAAATCTGTTATTAAAGAGATGACAGCTTGAGATGGGATCCAGTTTGAACAGTTAATATATAACCAAAAAGTAAGAAACAAAATCATGTCTTGTTTATGCATGAGAGATGAGCATGAACACCACACAGGAATAAAATACAGCTTTGTAACTCAAAACTCTGTTGCTCAAATACCACCAATTCCTACCACACAAAGCCCCTTTCTCAACCTAACTTTCTCATTAACCTTCTCTAGATTACCCATGCTCCTGTCAAAATCTCCACCTGGCAATACAGGGGATAAGAAACGCAAACACAATTTGCTAAGAATGAATCATCTAATCAAATCTATTATCCTCTCTAAGAGCTTTTATTTTTCCTGAAAGGATCTTAAGCTTTTGAACAGCAGATAGAATTTCTATCTACCCATGACCTAAACACTGGCCTTGTTAATTAAATTTAGAGTCATAAGTCTGCATATTTTTAATTATTTGAAAAAGAAAGAACTGTTCACTTTCAGGTATGCTGAGCTTTTCCCACTTTCCAATAATGAATACTGTAAGTAATTTATTAACAACTTAAACAATCCTTCATATCTACATGAAATGTACAGAATAAGGCTTCTTTGATTTATAGTAATTTGATTATAGTACAAACTAAACTTCAAACTACAGAATTTCAAAAAAGAATGACAGTTTATTACTTTGAGGGATACAGAATAACTAAAATCCCAGCTTCCTAGTATTAAGCCCTAATTAATCAATACAATTTAAAAAAAATAACTGGGGTAAGGGCCGGGCATGGTGGCTTACACCTATAATCCCAGCACTTTGGGAGGTTGAGGTGGGAGGATCACTTGAGGCCAGGAGTTCGAGACCAGCCTGAACAACATAGTGAGATCCCCACCTCTATTTTTAAAAAATAATTTTAAAAATGTAATTAAATCTATAATCTTACATGCATTATTACTTTTCGTAGTAAGAAATTCTTTTTGTTGTTTTTTTGAGACGGAGTTTCGCTCTTGTTGCCCAGGCTGAAGTGCAATGGCACAATCTCGGCTCACCGCAACCTCTGCCTCCCAGGTTCAAGCGATTCTCCTGCCTCAGCCTCCTTAGTAGCTGAGATTACAGGCATGCACCACCACGCCTGGCTAATTTTGTAGTTTTAGCACAGACGGGGTTTCTCCATCTTGGTCAGGCTGGTCTCAAACTCCCGAACTCAGGTGATCCGCCTGCCTCGGCCTCCCAAAGTGCAGGGATTACAGGCGTGAGCCACTGCACCTGGCCTAAGAAATTCTTTATATATAGTCCAACAATAATATTCAGTTCAGCTAAAGTCCTAATAATAAAAAAGTGTATTACTGAACTCCAAGTTAATTAGGTTCTTTCTGTATATTCGTTTTAATATTAATGTTTATAATGTAAAACCAGGAAAAAAGGTTCATTACCTGATCGAAAGCAGGAATTCAGTTTGCAAAACATGGCACTATATTCGTCATTCTATGATTGTGTTTGCCATAAATGGCTATAAGTGTTTGAGAAAGCATCTCAAGAGAAGTAGTTTTAAAGGATATAATTCCAGTGTGGCTTGACTGACCCTCTTCCCCACCACAGTCTCTCATTTTGATAGTGGATTTGTCCATTTCTCTCTATAATTCTATCCACTTGTGCTTTATTAGTCTGAGGCTGTCTTGTAAGGTGTATCATAATTCTTTACCTTCCTGTAAATTGTTCCTTTTCTCAATATGTGACCTTCACAATCCCTAATAATGTTTTTTGACTTAAGGTCTATTCTGTCTAATGTTAATATCGTTATGTCAGCATTCTTCTGATTAGTATTTGCCTGAAATATTTTTTCTCCATTCCTTTACTTTCATCCTTTATCTGTCCTTATATTTTAGGTATGTCACACGAAGCTGAATTCAGCCATTGATTCTATGCAAACTGAAAAATGTCAGTGGCCAGTTTAGTATATTTATATTTATTGTGATCAGTGATGTATATGTTGGAATTATTTTACTACCTTATTATAAACTTTCCCTTATTTGTCATGATTCAATTTTTGCTTCTTTTGTTTCTGTATATTTTTCAGCCTTTTACTCAACTGATAGTTTCCTTTTTTACCCTTTTCCATTAACTTAATTCTAAGTTATATATTCTATTTCTATTCTTTCAGTAGTCATAATTAAATTGTTAATATTATATTCAATTTAGGCCTGGCGCGGTGGCTCACGCCTGTAATCCCAGCACTTTGGGAGGCCGAGGCGGGGGGATCACGAGGTCACAAGATTGAGACCATCCTGGCTAACTCGGTGATACCCCGTCTCTACTAAAAATACAAAAAATTAGCCGGGTGTGGTGGCGGACGCCTGTAGTCCCAGCTACTCGGGAGGCTGAGGCAGGAGAATGGCATGAACCTGGGAGGTGGAGCTTGCAGTGAGCCGAGATCGTGCCACTGCACTCCAGCCTGGGCGACAGAGCAAGACTCCGTCTCAAAAAAAAAAAAAAAAATTATATTCAATTTAAGTGAATATATCTATGGCTTTACAATCCTTCTGAACAATGACATGCATTTTAAAATGCTTTAAAATCCATCACTCTTTCCTCATTTTATACCTTAATGTGGACTTGTATTTTAGTTCCATCTTACTTCTATGTTCCATATTAGTCACTATTATTTCTTATTTTATGCAATTAAAGATTAGATTTACCTATATGTTTATCAATGTTTTGTGCTTATTATTACTTATTATTACTTCCTGCATTCTAATCCTTCCTTTTTGCATTAGATTTCCTCCTTCTGCATTCAACCATTAAATAGCTTCCCTCTCATTCTGAGTGAAGGCCAAAGCCCTTACTATGGCCTGCTAGAGCTGGCAGGATCTAGGATTAAGGTTACATAGTTTCAAGGATGTCAGACTGGGTCACGAGGAATTCTGGAAAAGCAAGAGCATTTAATCAGTTTTAAGTCTGTCAGTATTCAAGAGTCCACGCTTATAAGCAAGAGGATCTGGGGTTGAAGGTATCACTTTATGGCGGTATAACCAAAGTCCAGAACACACAATGCTTCAGTAATTGCCAGGCTGCTACTGCCTTTTTAGGCACTTGGACTTGCCTCTTCAGTCCCATTCATTGTGATCACTCCCTCTGAATACTAATCAAATTATTCCTTCTTGTAAAATCTTGCATATGGTAAAAATTGAAACAGAACTGAAAGGCATAAAATTTTTCAAAAAGTTCTCTCTCCGGTTCTTAGCAAAGATAGTACTCACACGTGCTTTTTTTTTTTTTTTTTCTGAGACAGGACATCCTTCTATTACTCCGGCTGGAGTGCAGTGGCCATGATCTTGGTTCGCTACAGCCTCCACCTTCTGGGATCAAGTGATCCTTCCTGCCTCAGCTTCCCAAGTATCTGGGACATCAGATATGTGCCACCACATCCTGCTAATTTTGGTATTTTCAGTAGAGATGGGGTTTCGCATGTTGCCCAAGCTGGTCTTGAACTCCATGGCTCAAGCGATCCACCTGCCTTGGCCTCTCACAGTGCTGGGATTACAGGCGTGAGCCATGTCACCCAGCCTCACATATGTTTTGAATTACCAAAAGTGAACATAAAAAAATCTAGACCCAAGAAAAGAAAGATGTTATACACACACACACACACACCCCTTTACTCCTTCATTTTCTCCAAACTTCCAAAATATATACTACATTTAGTTTCGGTAATGTTATTTTAGGCAGTTGATGTTTAAACTGGAGAAAAGTGGCTGTTTGGTAAAATTAATTGTTTACTGTGAATTTGAATATACTGTGACTGTATATGTGTGGGACTGTTTCTCTTTCAATGTTCCATTTTTCTATACTTGTGCTAATATTTTATACTTCATTATCCTAACTAGAACTTTTTTTTTTTTTTTTTTTTTTTTTTTGTAGAGATGGGATCTCACTCAATTACCCAGGCTGGTCTCTAACTCCTGATCTCAAGTGATTCTCCCTCAGTTTGCTGGGATTTACAGGCGTGAGACACCACACCTGGCCTTTACTATAACTTTATAAGTCTTCTTATGTAGTAGAGCAAATCGCTCTGCATTGTTCCTCTTCTTAAAAAAGTGTCTTGATTGCCAGGTGTGGTAACTCATGCCTGAAATCTCAGCTACTGGGGAGGCTGAGGCAGAAAGATCCCTTGAGCTCACGAGTTCCAGGCTGCAGTGAGCAAGGATCACGACATTGCATCTAGCCTGGGCAACACAGCAAGACTCCATCCCTTGAAACAAGTGTCTTGGTTATTCTTGACACTTCTGCATTTCCATAAAAATTTAACAATCAATTGATCAAATTTTTTTAAAGTTAGAATTTTTATTGGAATTACATCAAATCTACAGATCAATTTCAGAAGAATCAACCCCCTTATAATACTGAGTCATCTAATACATGAATAGTATATATACCATCATTTAAAAAATTCTTCTTCAATTTCTTTCAACACAACTTATAGTTTTCAGTGTAAAGTCTTGCCCATATTTTGCCAAATTATTCCTAGAATTTGAAAATATCAAATTCTGGAATTTGATATTTTCTGCTGCCACTGTAAATAGCCTTTTATAAAGTAAATTCTATTTTCTGTTTGTAGCTGGTAGATAGAAATAGTTGGTTTTCAGTGATACCTTGTATACAATGATTTTACTAAAAATCATAATTCTAGAATATGCTTTTGGCTTTAATCATGTTCATTGGTTTTTTGTGTTTAATTTGATTGTTTTCTGCCTCATCTTTATTATTTCCTTCTTACTATTTATTATGGGTTTAATTTGCCCTTTTTTTTCCTCTTTTTAGTTTCTTAAGGTAATAGATCCTTGATTGAGATCTTTTTTCCTTCCCAATAAAAGTATTCAATGATTTGAATTTTGCTGAATTAGCTGCATCCTACAAATGCCAATAGATTTGTTCTATTTTCATTTTTATTTAGTTTGAAATATTTTTTTAAAATATTCCTCTTTGGCCTATAGATCATTTAAATGTTTGCTGTTTAACTTTGAAATACCTGGGGGATTTTCCAGGTATCTATCAGTTATTTGGGGAGGAAGAATCACAGGCCTCTTTAAAATCTATTAGAGCATTTTCCCAGAAAAATTCTGTGAAAGGAAAATAAATGTTGGGGCCCCCAAATCACTAAGCTAAAGGGAAGAGTCAAGCTGGGAACTGCTTATGACAAACCTGCCTCCCATTCTATTCAGAGTCACCCCTCTGCTCACTGAGATAAATGTATATCTGATTGTCTCCTTTGGAGAGGCTATTCAGAAACTCAAAAGAATGCAACGATTTATTTCTTATCTACCTGTGATCTGGAAGCCCCCTCCCCGCTTTGAGTTGTCCCACCTTTCCGGATGGAACCACTGTTCATCTTACATATGTTGATTGATGTCTCATGACTCCCTAAAATGTATAAAATCAAACTGTGCTCTGACCACCTTGGGCACGTGTCATCAGGACCTCCTGAGGCTGTGTCTCTGCAAGTCCTCAACCTTGGCAAAATAAACTTTCTAAATTAACTGAGACCTGTCTCAGATATACGGGGTTCACAATTTCAAAAATATTTTGAGAAATATTTTTGTTTTCATAAAACTTGCAAATGGAACTAAGTTTTATATGTTTTATAATTTCCTAGGATCTACAGATCCCCTAAACCCATTCCCATTGCTAGATTATCAATTCCTGCCCTAAGGTATTGAATATGCTAAGACTATCTAAGAGATAGAGAAAGAGAAAGAGGATTTTTCTTAATTCCCATTACAGCGAGAATCTTTCCATGTCACCATTTTTGCTTTTAGATATGTCTCAGAAAGTACTCTAAACTGGCACAACCTAATACTAGTGAGTTGAGTAAAAGCTGCTCAAAAGTGTGCTACATGTCTGATACAGCAAAGGATAATCAAAGACAATCCATAGCTTCTAAGATTCAAACAAGCTTGCTTATACTCAAATGCAGAGTTTTAGTTTGCATCCTAATTTTTAAAAGGAAGTCTTCTCCCTCATTCTGGGTTTGTGCCTAATACGTGTGTTCGGGGAGGGGTAGTTACAGTTGCCCCATTAATCATGCCTCCCTTCATACCATTACTACATGTCTCCAATTCAGAACCCTATCTACTGCTGGTAGCTGGTGTCACACTGGGATACTGCAGATGTAGTTCTTGAGCATGTTTTGGCCTTAGTTCCATTTGCAAGGCAATCTTGCTGTTTGTCACACTAGGTTGATACCTATAGTGGCCCTGGGCAGTAAATGCAGGTTTTCTTTCGATCTTATTATGAGTACAGGTATATCTTTAATGTGATATGTATTTGTATGTGGGTGTACGCTAGGAAGGAGGGTGCTCTGAGTAAACCACAGCCTAACCTTGATTAAATGTTGACACTTTTATCTCCCAGAAATATAATTTCAAATAGTGTAATTTTTAAGCACACATGAAGGAATTAAATTATAGTCCATACCTTGGAACAGGGTAAGATTAAAAGCTGTACTTGATCACTAATATGCTTCAACAGATATAAAAGCTCTATAGTGTTAGGACTTCCAATCCCAGTAAAAAATTGACTATGTAATTGACCAATCCTCTCAATGAGAACATCTGGAAAAACTAAATAACAAATTTCAAAAATCTTCCTGATGGTACTGAAGTGATAACATGGTAAGTAAAAAGTTATTCAATTGCTCAATTGAATTCAAGATTCAATTGCTCAATTTCTTTTCAAACTTCTAATACTAATATTTTCTAGGGTGGGTGTGGAGGATTCCATTTACTCAGAGACTAAAAAAACTTCATATTCTGGAATGAAGAAAAAAAATTTTTAAATGAGAAAGATAAAAAAATAGAAAAGGGAAAATGTTTGAATATTATATGCCTGTGGTAATGAAAAGAGGTTTAGGACAATAAAGATTAGAAAATGTGATAAGAGGTCAACATATATAATTTAAAAGCCATATAGGAAAAAGTCTTTTGATTTTTATAGTAATATTAGCATTAACTGAAATCATTAAGTAAATTACCATAGCAATGAATTTCTCTCTTCTTTGGCAATGAAGGTGGTGTCAAATGACATAAAATTTAACACAAACACACCATTAGGATTCAAGTAGGGAGCGTCCATCTTTGGGAATAAAAATAAAAGCTCAGCCAGGTGTGGTGGAGTTGCCTGTAGTCCCAGCTACTTGAGAGGCTGAGGCAGGAGGATTGCTTGAGCCTAGGAGTTTGGGGCTTTAGAGAACATTGGTTGCACCTGTGAATACGCCCTGCATAACAGTCTGGCAACATAGCGAAACCCTGTCTCTAAATATTAAAAATTAAAATTAAAAAAGTTCATGAGCTCTCTTTTTTCATTGTTGCATACTCTCAATTTGGCTTTATGATAGATGACATAATTCATCCCACTCTTCACCCCCTTTGTATCTTCATTCTTTGCTATTTAATTTTGCACTGTGGAGGGGTTGTTTTGGTGAGACTTACGGGAATATTTTCTCTCCTGTGCCCCGTCTTCACCATGAGATCAGGCCCAGGATAGGCTGCTGCAGGATTAGAGCTACGTATAATAGAGCAGAAGTTTTAATATGGTTAAGGCCAGCCTAGAACAGCAGCCAGCCAGTCTTGTGAGTAAACCCAGCCAACCTCAGAAAAGACACCTAGCTAGCACCCCATATGACCCGAGAAGCATGAGCAATAAATGCTTACTGCGTGTCACCCACGCCAACAGCGGTTGTTGGTTACACAGCATTCTTATGACAACATATAACTAATACAGACTTTGACCTGCTTTAACTAACAATTTCAAATTTTTTACCTTCTCTTGAAAATATTGTCATTGCTCTCTGTTTTCAATATGATCTACTGACTCTTAGTCCTGACAGTTCATCTAGTATTGACTTGCCACAGCCCCCAGAAAATCAAGCTCTTACAAGTCTGAGAAGCAAGTCAGAAAGCTATCTTTTTTTCTTCTGTTTTTGTAGACACAGGGTCTCACTATGTTGCCCCAGCTAGTCTTGGACTACTGGGCTCAAAGCAATCCTTCTGTCTCGAACTCTCAAAGTGCTAGGATTATAGGTATAGCCAGTGTGTCAGGCCAGAAAGCTGTCTTGAAGAAAGGATGAAGTAATCCTAAAATAGTCCAACGTAAGAAGAGAGGTAACAAAAAGTGCCAGGCTATCTAAAGGATCAAGAGGGCCAGGCGCAGTGGCTCACTTTGGGAGGCCGAGGTGGGAGGTTGCTTGAGGCCAAGAGTTCAAGACCAACCTGGCCAAAATAGTGAGAACCCCATCTCTTAAAAAAAAAAAAAAGGATCAAGAGGCTAGCTAGGTAACCTAAAGGGATTGGTGTGTTTGTATCACAGAGAAAGTGCGTTTGGTCAAAAAGACACTACTGATTTGTTTCATCTGTTTGCACATAATATAAAAACTCTTCCAAGTGATTTCATATTGCCTTTGATCTTTTTTTTTTTGCATATTAACAACATAAGCTATTACCATATAATAATATATGGGGTGATAATCCATGTAGATGGCATTAAAATCTCCATTAAATAATACTTTTATTTATTTAATTATTTTGAGATGGAGTCTTGGTCTGTCGCCCAGGCTTGAGTGCAGTGGTGCAAGCTAAGCTCACTGCAACCTCCGCCTCCTGGGTTCATGCGATTCTCCTGGCGCGCCACCACACCTGACTAATTTTTGTACTTTTAGTAGAGATGAGGTTTCACCATTTTGGTCAGGCTGGTCTTGAACTTCTGACCTGAGGTGATCTGCCCACCTCAGCCTCTCAAAGTGCTGGGATTATAGGCATGAGCCACCATACCTGGCCAATACTTTTAGAACTTAAAAAAAAAAAATTGAACTCATATTTGAGCTCATATGTCTCTATACCATTTAAATATCACACATGTATGTTTTTTTCCATCATAGGAATGTCAAGTCTCCAACTTATAAAATTATATAAAGAATAAAGTGTATATTTACAAAGCCTTAAAATAAAACCTTAGTGTCTAGAACTATTGACCTCATACATAGCTACTGATCTGCATTGAAGTTGAGACCTCCCCTTAAATGTCATTCCTATTATTGTTTCAAATGGTCTGCAACCTGATTAAATGCCAATCTCCTTTCTCACAGTTCATAACATTTGCCATTTACACTAAGATTCTAGATGCCATTCCCTGGAACCATCAAATAATGGTTACTGTTGGAAAATACCCTTCAGTTTTTAAAAGGGATACTTATTAATATATTTGCCTCCAAAGTTGATATCAAAAAAGTTTACAAGCCTATAAATTTTAAAGGTGCCACAACAGTTCCCTTATGTACTAATATTTTAGTTTTCTTTTAACACACAGAGGATAAGAAAAACACTAATTCAAACTTTCCATTGTGGCTAGGTACAGTGGCTCACACCTGTAATCCCAGTACTTCAGAAGGCCAAGGCTATGGATCATTTGAGCCCAGGAGTTCGAGACCAGCCTGAGTAATGTGGCGAGACCCTCCATCGCTACAAAAAATAAGAAAATTAGCTAGGCATGCTGGCATGCCCAGAGGCTGAAGCGGGAGGATACCTTGAGCCTGGGAGGCAGAGGTTGCAATGAGCCATGATCATGCCACTGTACTTCAGGCTGGCCAACAGAGTGAGACCATCTCAAAAACAAACAAAAAACCCCAAACTTTCCACTGTAAGGTCTAGTGACCTTTTCTTCTAAAGGTCACATTTCAGACTATACAAACAAATCCCCAATATATCACCATTAAATAATTTGTTCAGTTTAATCATAAAATATTATGATATTACACCTATAGGTATATGTGTATTTGAAACATAAAATTCTTAGTAAATTAATTATAACCTCACAATTGCTGTCAAGACAAACAAGAATTTTTAAATGAAAATCTAAAAAACCTTGATCTCAGTTTTACAAAAGAGCATCTAGAAAGCTGATATTCACATGACCCATACTAAGTTAAACACATATTGCAGGAACTAAAGCCTATTGCTTAGAACTCAGATGTGAAGCATCAATGCTAAATCCCTATTATTTCAAAATTAAACTATGAAATCATCTAACTATACATTAAGAGCACAGAAGTAAAATAAACTATTCTACACATAAATAAAATATATTATGCACGTATTAACATAGTAAATGTAGATCTTGATATATTGTAAAATGAATGAGCAATTCACAAAACAATATGTATAACACAATGCAACTTTTCTTAAATAAAAAAGATGTTATGTTTATATACAAGCTACAGATCAGAAATAAAGTATTAAAGGTTGGTGCAGAGGTGAACATGGGAGAGAATACAGTCGTGGGTTCTTAGTTTCTGTTTCTGGTTAGGCCAGTAAAGCCCCTTACTCATTATACGTTTCTGCTTAGCACTAGAGATAGAAACTAAAAACCATGGCTTCAGGCTGCTAAAAGCCTAAAAAAAACAAGAGAACAACAACAGTGAAAAATAAGGCGAGTTGGACAAGCTTGTTTTACAGTCTGGTCTGGATTTGAATGCTAGTGCCAACACCTGCTCCCAGGCATTCTAATTTTAGTAGTCTATATTACTCATGCTATTAACTGTTCTCAGCTTCAATTTCTACATTTTGTAGTGGTGGACAGTAATACTTTCATTTCATAGGATTGTTGTGAAATAAATGAAATAATATATATAAATGGCTTGGCACAATTCCTGATTCACTATAAAGGTTAATGATGGTAGTTATTTTTGTGGCCCAACCTCACTCTTAAAAATAAATTCTCTGGTATCGCTTTGGATTCAGAAGGACTGAAGGATTTATCCTTACAGAGATTTAGGTTTGTATAACACATACCTTTGGTGATTAGTAACAGAAAAGCCTTAGGGAAAAAAATACGTAATCATAAAAATAATTTCAGATGTATTATTATAAGTATATAACGCACTCTATATGTAATTTAATGTTATAATCTACTATACCCCAGAATATTAAAAATCAGCTTGAAAAAACCTTTTATAAGCCTTTCTCCTGATATGAATAAAATCTATAACTAAGTATACTAAAACGTTTCAGTAGCCAAGAGACTTCTATAACCAATCTTTAGGGAAATACATTTCAGATTATGAAAAGCTGTTCGATGTACATTTCAGGTTGTATTTGCAAGTCACTCTTTCTGAAAACATGCTTATCTTTAAAATTCTAGCTTTCCTTTATCTCACTGCTTGAGCATTCTATTAATGATCTGATTTCCCTTCCTTCCTTCCCTTCCTTCCTTTCTTCCTTCGTTTCTGTTCTTTTCTTTTTTATTATACTTTAAGTTCTGAGATACATGTGCAGAACGTGCAGATTTGTTACATAGGTATACACGTGCCATGGTGGTTTGCTGCACCCATCAACCTCTCATCTACATTAGGTATTTCTCCTAATGCTGTCCCTCCCCTACCTCCCACCCGCCAACAGGCCCCGGTGTGTGATGTTCCCCTCTCTGTGTCCACGTGTTCTCATTGGTCAACTCCCACTTATGGGTGAGAATATGCAGTGTTTGGTTTTCTGTTCCTGTGTTTGTTTGCTGAGAATGATGGTTTTCAGCTTCATCCATGTCCCTGCAAAGGACATGAACTCATCTTTTTTTATGGCTGCAGAAATAACGTCACACATCTACAACCATCTGATCTTTCACAAACCTGACAAAAACAAGCAATGGGGAAAGGATTCCCTATATAATAAATGGTGTTGGGAAAACTGGCTAACCATATGCAGAAAACTGAAACTAGACCCCTTCCTTACCCCTTATACAAAAATTAACTCAAGATGGATTAAAGACTTAAATGTAAGACCTAAAACCATAAAAACCCTAGAAGAAAACCTAGGCAATACCATTCAGGACACAGGCATGGGCAAAGACTTCATGACTAAAACACCAAAAGCAATGGCAACAAAAGCCAAAATTGACAAATGGGATCTAATTAAACTAAAGAGCTTCTGCATAGCCAAAGAAACTATCATCGGAGTGCACAGGCAACCTACAGAATGGGAGAAAAGTTTTGCAATCTATCCATCTGACAAAGGGATAATATCCAGAACCTACAAAGAACTTAAACAAATTTACAAGAGAAAAACAAACAACCCCATCAAAAAGTGGGCAAAGGGTCTGAACAGACACTTCTCAAAAGAAGACATATATGTGGCCAACAAACATATGAAAAAAAGCTAATCATCACTGGTCATTAGAGAAATGCAGATCAAAACCACAATGAGATACCATCTCATGCCAGTCAGAATGGCGATCATTAAAAAGTCAGGAAACAACAGATTCTGTCATTTCTTAATCTTGTGGACTGGAAGCTTAAATTTTTCATCTTTGAAAAGAATCTCCTACTCATTGATTTAGTTTTCATACCAAATCTCAAGTCAATACTTCCATTTATAGGCAGAGTAGTTATCCAATTCAAAAATCTGTTTCAAGTCTTTCTTCCACTAAAGACTTACAATTTGGCTATTTTCCTCTAAATGTTTTCAGTCAAATTATTCTAAAAAAATAGGAATATTTGTAAAGATTAAAGAACAAAACAGGTATAATTTTAGCACATTGAGGGGTAGAAGAGTGTTATTAAATGCCAAGAAACAAACATTAACAGCAAGTTGTTACTTAAGACATTAGTCAATAATATATTTTTAAAAATAAGGCATATGATGTTTTTTATAATCTTATTTAATGCTTAAGCTTCCCTTATACACTAAAATGAAAGTTGAAAAATAAAACTATTTTTAATAAAAAAAGATATAATCCAATTAAAAACCAAAAAATGACAATGATTTTCTGTTAGCCTTCAACACTGCAGGTACATTAGATAGGCCTAAGTAATTTACAGCCACTGACAATTTGATCAACAGTATCAACTCAGTGAAATGTTTGCAGATATTTTGATTTCGTCTAAGCCTTTTGCCATTACTATGTTAACTGAAGTACATATTACCATTACCACTGTCCCTCCCTACTCTCAATGCAAGGTATTTTCTATATACATGCTGGATCTTTCTTACAGTGTTATCTTCAGATCTTAGCATTGTCAGTAATTACACTATACTCTACTAGATATAACACTGAATTTTATTTATAGCAATAACCATGTTTTTGAAGCAGTGAACATTATAAAAAAGATTTAAACAAAGATTGAGAGAAAAATTAGTAATCTAAATTCATAGTAATTTCCTACAAAGAGCTTCTATATCTCTGTATGGTTAGTTTTCAATAAAGTTCTTAAAAAGATGCTTCTAAGATGATTTTGTCAAGACTACAAGATCAATTGAATGAAAATAGTACCATATTTGCAAACAAAATCTGGCCATCCATGGGAACTAAAAGAAGGAAGCCTCGTAACATGACTGTTACCTCCAAGGATCATTTTATGTAAATCCTTCAGTATGTCACCAACTTACCCTAAAAATTATCACAGAACAAACTGAAACAACTTGGATATAGATAAAAGTAGATTATTTTGTTTATTATGGTATTTCAACCGGGAATGGTTAGAGAGGATAAACTGAAAACGTAGTTAGCTAACATTCTAAAGATAGTGGAGACAATCAGATTTTGACACACTGTCTAAAATTAGTATATCAATAATGGTAAAAAAAAAATATTGAAGTCTCATTTTGTTTGGATTTCAATTAGCATACATATATACTAGTGAAATATGTGTGCTTAACTTTCAAACATTAATGTATAGAATTAAGATTATGATTCAATTATGTACTTATTATTTTAAATGCATGCATATAGCTATTTCAAATAGAATAATTTTAGGGTTAAATTCCCAGGTTCTAGGGTTGGAATCTTTAAAAAGTAAATAAACATTTTTCTACTAAAATTTTACGTACTTTACTTCCTCCAACAGTTTTCTAACAGTTCAAGTCAATTTCATACTAGGTGACCATGCATGAATGATATATGGAGTTAGTGGTCACACAAAAGGGAAAACTTGATTGATCATGCATAATTATAATTTATGTAAATTACTAAAATATTTAAATATTTAAAAATATATAATTAGGCCATTAATTGGCACATGCGTTAAAAAAGGAAACCTTATAAAACTTGCTTGTCTTCTGAAAGTGTATTGACAATGTGTAGGAGGGCCATTTTTTTGTTAACAAATTTTTTTTCTGGTTTAAATTCATCAGGAAGTTACAAACTTTCACTACAGTAAAAATGGAAGTAAGTAAATAGTCAATTCAATATTTATGATTAGTCAAGTATTATATAGTTAGTAATTTTAAATAAAATCATTAAAGTTTACAGATAAAGGAAACCACTTACAAGCTGCTCTGATTTTACACTGTATAACTGGATGGTCTTTGCCACATTTTTTGACACAGCTAATGTGAGGTTTGTATCAACAGCAGCAACATTTAGTTCACTGGAGAAAATGAAAACAGTTTTTAAATATTAGCAACATCATTCATCAACAAAGTAAAGAGCAAGATAAAAACTCAAACCCAATAAGCAATGTGGTTATTCTTTTTATAGATTTCACTGCTTCCAAGAACTGGTTGCATTGTTTCATTTTACCCCCTAATTTCAGCACTTGGAAAAAGTACCTGGAGATGGCTTCCTTAATGACCAGTTTCTCATTAACAAAAGCATGTCATATGTGGGTTCAGTCTGTGATTAAAGGAGTAAATTGTGTACAGATTTTTAAAGTAGCACTCTTGCTAATACTGATAAAGTGCAAGCAGAGGCATTGCATATCACAGACATCTGCAAGGAAATGACAGCTCTTGAATGGAAATGATGACCTTAAAGGGACATAGGCTAAAAATATAAATTACACATGATATATAAAGATACTCAGCTTCTGTAGAAATTATGCCAATTCATGCTAGTTTCAATAGAGTAGCTTTTTAAATAATATAAAAGCATAACAGGACTATAATTACAAATTTTTAAAATTCGGATTCTTAAAGTATATTTTTGTCATGCTTCAACTTTAACATTGGATTAATTGGGGTATTTGATCTGACTGCCAAAAAAAAAAAAAAAAGTATTTTACGAAGACCATGGAAAGAACACTAGAAATTAAAAATAATATAGAAACCCATATACAGATGGAAAGCAAGAAAATTATTGTCCCTAAAGTAGTAGAGTAAATCTTACCAGATTCTCTTTTTAAAGAAGTTGAAAGTTTGAAACAATACTAGAGCATACTATGTGTAACAAAAATGCACTTTCATACAGTATTGAGACATAATTTTGTTAATGTTCACTTTTAAATTTTATTAAACACTAGCATAAGCATGATTCTTCCAGTTGTAGATTATATTTGATTATAGCATTGTCAAGTTGCACAGAGGAATGGGAGAGATTCCTCTTTAACATTTACATAAACAGGTCAAAGAGATCAAGTTACTAAGACCTATAGTCAGAAGGAAAGTCAAGGCAATTGTGGAGAGATTTAGGACCAAGATGCTGGGCAATCTAGACAATTTGTAGGTACGTTTGCAGCAAAAGATATGCTTATGTATATTATTATACATGTGGCTTTTTATTTTTATTTTTTGAGACAGGGTTTCGCTCTGTCAGCCAGGCTGGAGTGCAGTGGCGTGATGTCGGCTCACTGCAGCCTTCGCCTCCCGGATTCAAGCGATTCTGATGCCTCAGCCTCCCGAGTAGCTGGGGTTACAAGCGTGCACCACCAGGCCCAGCTAATTTTTGTATTTTTAGTAGAGATGGCGTTTCACCAGGATGGTCTGGAACTCCTGACCTCAGGTGATCCACCCACCTCCGCCTCCCAAAGTGCTGGGATTACAGGCGTGAGCCACCATGCCTGGCCACCTGTGGCTTTTTAGTCTTACTCTTCCACGCCTCAGAATCACCATCTTCAAATCTTTAAAAGAATTTAGACCTCAGTCTCATACTATTTTTTATTCCTTAAAACGTCCATCTCAAATGTACAGATCTACTATTATGACAACTTGTTAGTCATGACAGAAACTGAGATAATTTCAACTGCAAATTGGTCTGGATAACTTTTAAATAAGTGTCTAAAGCCAACAGTATATAATTACATTGTCTGCAGGCATTCAGGTGGCACCTCTGCTAGGATATCTTCCCTTTTTAGTCTTAAAAGCTGTCACATTCACTTAAAAAGCTTAAAATAGCGAACACAAGCTAATCAAAGTTATATTCCTATTTCTGCCATGAAGCACGTTCTGGAGTTTAGGATAAAAAAAAGTTAACCTGTATGTTTTAGTTTCTCAATTTATAAAATCGTTTATTATATTTGATTTCTTGTGTAACGTAAGAAATTTACTATGATACAAAGAGCTAGGTTTACTTTGCATCCTTGGCAAGATATAGAATAATTATAATAGACTGTTTTTAGACTATATTTAAGGTATTTAAATTATTTATTAATTGGAATCTCAAGTACTTACTATGTGTGCACTCATTTACTATAAAATTCTTAATTTAATTGTGGGCCTAATTACTTGAATAATTTGAAAATAAATTAAAAAGGTACTGCTATCATATATCACTAACAAATATGGCAGTCATCTTATGGCAAGCCACTATATAAAAAATACATACCTTGCTATAGTTTTAATAATACCATCAAGTTCATCAGAGGAAGGAGGATTACGACCACCCGGGGGAAAAACCAAGTTGATAGGATCGAAGAGTCGAGATAAGGATTTTGATAGATAAGCAGCCTCATAGGGTTGTAGTGAGTCTTTCAAAGCCTTTTCTGGACTGTGGAAACAAAATTTTTTAAAAACTAACTTAAATTGCACAGAGCTAAATGCTATTGTATCAGGCTGTAAATACCTTTTTAAAAAATGCACCTCCCATAAAAATGTAACTCTATATTAAGAAAAAGAAAATAATTTGTTTCACAACGTACATATTTACCAATATATTTCATAATTAAACATTCAGGACCATAGTAACCTTTTTTTTTTTGAGACGTAGTCTCACTCTGTTGTCCTGGCTGGAGTGCAACGGCGCAATCTTGGCTCACTGCAACCTCTACCTCCTGGGTTCAAGCGATTCTCCTGCCTCAGCCTCCCAAGTAGCTGGGATTACAGCTGCCCGCCACCATGCCCAGCTAATTGTTGTATTTTTAGTAGAGACAGGGTTTTGCCATGTTGGCCAGGATGGTCTCAAACTCCTGACTCCAGTGATCCACCCGCTTCGGCCTCACAAAGTGCTGGGATTACACGTGTGAGCAACCGTGCCCGGCCTATATTAACATTTTAATCTCTACGTAAGTCCCCACTATAAATGCACAATAATATGCACCAATACCTACTGTATTATCTGTTTCCTTAAACTAAAAGAATAACAGTAAAATCCTATTAATGCTAATGGGGGCTATGCCTTTACTTGTAAATCATACCTATAGAGTTATCGAAGCATATGGAAGAAAGACCAGCCTGCAGAGACCTGCTCCATTAGCTTGGCCCTTTCCATCCATAGCTGCCTCCCCAGTAAAGCTCACTGACTGAGAGGGAAGTGTACAGACTTAGGTTTTTACATTTTCCATTTTTGTGTTACTAACAAGAGTGAGACAAAATAAAAAGTATTTATGGAAGTCCTAAAATCACGTAAATACTCCCAAGTGGAGTTCTATGCTACTTTGTTTTATAATATTCTTCACAACATCAAATGTAACCTGAGAAACATTTCTTTCCTGCTTGCACTTCCCATATCTTTAATAATTCATGCTGATTTTCATTTAGCAGTCAAACTATTTGATCTTACATTTTTCTTTCGACAATTACTATCAAATGTCTATAACCATTATTTTCATGTTTCCTTACTCCTATAATTAATTGTCTTCTCACATCATCCCTGTTTACAATCCTTCCACCAGCTTTTGCATTGTCTTTTTTCTTTTATAAACAACAAATTTTCCTTCATCTAAAAAGTTAACCTTTAAAACATCTAACCTGCTCCTTCATGTATATGAAACTTGGCTTTCTCTTTTTCTCACCCTTCTGGTCCACTGATATGACCTAGAGATCAGAATGCTCTTGGCTCCAACATCATAATTCCATAGTTATCTCTTAATGTTTTCTCATTCAGTAAGTATTTCACTCAACACATATTTACTGAGAATACTACGCACCAGGCACTTTGTAAAGTGCTGGGAAGATAGAGATTAAGAGTGCTTTACAGTCTTGTGAAGAAATTGGCAGGTAAAATGCTAATTATAATAATTTCTGTAATAGATGAAGATACCAAGACCATGATGGAAGCATGAAAGAACTTAGTATCTAAATGTGTCTGAAGCAATCCTCTGTTGAAGTCCGAGCCATCTATTTAAATGTCACTATTTTTACTCATGACATCTACTGACCTCAGAAGCCTCTTCCCACTTCTGCAGAAATTTTGGCACTGAATTATAAGAACTAACACTTTCCCGTTCTCCAAATCTACCGTTAAAGATCCTTGGTAACTACAATGTCAAACATCTTTTCTAAAATATGTCCTATATTAAAAGTCTACATTTATAATAACCTTTTTTGGCTTTACTAGGGGGCTTCCAAATTTGAGTCATCACTTTGAACTGCTCCACCTCTAAGATCTTCAAGCTTAAAGGAAACTGTCTACATGCCCCACCTTCTATCTCTACTTTTCCTTCCACAAATATTAAGTCACTACAATATTTGCCAAGTATTTCCTAGGTGCAGAAATATAGTAGAGAACTTGCTTTAAAAAAAAAATTCCCGGCCGGACCTGGTGGCATGGTGGCATGTGCCTGTAATCCCAGCTACTCAGGAGACTGAGAGAGAATTGCTTGAACCCAGGAGGAAAGGGTGCAGTGAGCCAAGATCATGCCACTGCACTCCAGCCTGGGCGACACAGCAAGACTCTGTCAAGAAAAAAAAAAAAAAATTCCCTGTCTTCTTAAAGCTTACACAGTAACAGGAGAGATATACACAAAAATAAAAATTTAAAATAAGTTAAATATGGAATATGATAATGATAAGTGCTAAGAGAAAAATAAAGCAAGGAAGATAGAGAATAATGCTTAAGTCTTTTTTCCTTTTCCATCCGATTTTAGATAGGATGAGGCAAAGGAAGGCTTACTGAGGGGCCCTGAAGGAAAAGAGGGAGCTAATTGTGTAGATTTTCAGGGAAATTGCTTTCCATGAGGAAAGAACAGCAAGTACAAAGGCCCTGAGGAGAGACCATACCTGGCTGTGTTGGCCAGAGGTGCAGATCAAGTAACAGGAGGGTAGTACAAGATAATATCAGAGAAAACAGATGGACGTCATGTTAGGCTTTGCATATCTATAAGGGTGGTATATTTTACTCTAAAGAACTTGTTCTTTGACCTTATTGTAATTTATGCTACATGACCCCTTCTTGCTTCCAGCCTCCATCAGCCCACCATGTCTATAGTCATCCTTTTTCCATAGCCATCATTTCAAGGTGCTCTCATTAGCACCCTGATTTTTCCAATTCACCTTCCTTTCAAAGTTCTAAGAAAATGTTATTGAGATGTTCTCTGTATCTGCTGCTAAGCTGGCCAAGTACTTCAGAGAAAAAATGATTTCTACTGGACATTTATACAAACTTCTTTAAAATCAAGAGACCTGAAGGTCAAAGTAATAACCTAAAATTCTACTTGTGCAACTCTTCAATCTTTATAGATGACTTTTGTCTTGGTTTTACCCTAAGAGAAAACCACTGGCCGTGACCTTTCTCAACGTGGCACTTCTCTTGTTTTTTTCCCTCTTACAACTTCATCTATTCTCTGTGACTTTCTTATTATTTCAATGAAAGAGGTAACCTCACTCCTTTTTTTAAAATAAAAAATTCCCAGAATAATTTAATCTATCTCTTCTTATCCCATTCTCTTCTTACACAGATCTGATCGCTATACATGTATCACAGCATCACTCTATATATGTATAAATATTATGTGTCAGTTAAAAAAATAAAGGAAAAAGATATGTCAGCATAAAAAATATAAAGACATATCTCTAAGTAAAAAGGTTTTATTGGGGAATAACATACGAGAAGCAGGATTGCTATCTTGGACCTACAGACAGAACAGGGTGGCCTCTGGTATGTTTGGAAAACAAAAGAAAGGCTGGAGTTTATTGGGGGAAGAGGAGGTTATGCAAGTTGTTTTCAAAGACAGTTTACTGGCACTGGCAGCATCTTATATAAGAGCTGGTGAGTTCTGATTGGTGAGTGTCAGTAAATTGCAAAGTAGGACTTGCAATTTTAGTGTTATGGTTAGGCCCTTGCAGTTTGGATTGGGCTTGTGAGATAGTGTGTCAGGCAAATGTTCTTGTTTAAGTGGCTAGCTGTCCCTGTGTGACTTGTGTAGTAAGCTGCAGTTGAGAAAAATTTCTTGTGATAGTTCTTGTTATCAGGCAAATCATGTGTGACAGCTCTCCCTTCATAACCGTCCCCCAGCTCTATTTTGCCAGGCTTTGACACAAGTGACTCCATGTCGAATCTGACAACTTTCATATATATAATTTACATAGCATACCACCACTTGAATTCAATCACTGAAAGTATACAATTTGATGAATTTTGTATATTCAGAGATCTGTGCTATCATCACCACAGTCAATTTTAGAACATTTTATCACCTCAAAAAGAAATCTTGTATCTTTAACTACAACACTCCACCTTCCTCACTCCATCCCCAGGCCCAATCGATCACTAATCTACTTTGTGTTTCTATAGATTTTGCTATTCTGGATTTGCATATGAATGGGATAATATACTGTGTGTATCTGTGTATGTGTGTGTTTTACTGTCTTCTTTCACTTAGTATAATGTTTTCAAGGTTCATCCATGTTGCAGCATGTACAGTACTTCATTTCTTTTTATGGCTAATATTGTATATATTTTAATTGTAATATTTCATTGTATGAATATAGCACATTTTGTTTACCCATTTGTCTGTTGACAGACATTTGGTTGTTTCCATCTTTTGGCTATCAGGAATAATGCTGCTACAAACATTTGCATACAAATGTCTACGTGAACATATGTTTTTATTTCCCTTGGGTATACATCTGGAGCGAAACTGCTGGGTCATATGGTAACTATGTTTAATAGTTTGAAGAGGCCGCACATAGTGGCTCATGCCTGTAATCCCAACACTTTGGGAGGCTGAGGCAGGAGGATCCCTTGAGCCCAGAAGTTCAAGACCAGCCTGTGCAACAAAGTTAAACCTCGCCGCTACAAAAAATAAAATAATTAGTCAGGCATGGGAGTGCACGCCTGTAATCCCAGCTACTCAAAGGCTGAGGTGGAGGACTGCTTGAGCCGGAGAGTTAGAGGATGCAGTGAGCTGTGATTGCACCACTGCACTCTAGCCTGGGCTACAGAACGAGACCCAGTTTCAAGAAAAAAAGTTTGAAGAACTGCCAAACCCTTTTCCAAGGCCCTGTACCAGTTTAGATTTCCACCAGCAACATATGAGGATAGTAATTTCTCAACATCCTTGACAACACTTGCTACTATTTGTCTTTTTGTTTATAGACATCCTAGGGGGCGTGACATAGTGGTTCTGATTTGTATTGTGGTTCTGATTTGTATTTTCCTGATCATCTTTTTCATGTGCTTATTGGTCATCTATGTTTTCTGGAGATGTCTGCTCAGATCCCTTGTCCACTTTTTAGTTGGGTAATTTGTCTTTTTATTGTTGAATTGAAAAGAGTTCTTTATATATTCTGAAACAAGTCAATTGCCAGATCTATGAGTCAGAAATATTTTCACCCATTCCTAATGGTAATCCTTTGAAGCAGCAAAGTTTCTAATTTTCAGAAAGTCCAAAATATCATTTAAATATAATTTTGTCTTTTGTTGATTGTGATTTTGCTGTCATGTCTAAGAATTATTTACCAAATCCTAATGCATGAAGATTTGCCCCTATGTTTTCTAACAGAGATATATATATATATATATATATATATATATATATATATATATATATATATATATATTTAAAAATTTATCTATATTTTTAATTTTTACATTGATTGATTGATTGAGATGGGGTTTCCCTATCTTGTCCAGGCTGGACTCAAACTCCTGGACTCAAGTGATTTTCTCACCTCAGCTTCCCAAAGTGCTGGGAATTACAGGCATGAGACATGAGACACTGTGCCCAGCCTTGTTTTATATTTTTAATCTAATATTTAAATCTTTGATCCATTTTGAGTTAATTTTTGTATATGATGTGAAGGGCACCACTTCATTATTTTGCATGTCACTATCAGCTGTCCCAGCACCATTTGTCTAAAAGATAATTCTTTCTCGATTGAAAGAATGGTCTTTACACTTTTTGAAGACAACTCACCATAGATTTACAGGTTTCCTTCTATACTCTCAGTTTTATGTCTATCCTTGTGCCAGGCAGTACTATACCATAGGGATTAAAATTGCTTTGTAGTGACTTGTGAGCCCTCCTACACTCTTTTTCTTCTTCTTCTTCTTCAATATTGTTTTAACTATTCTGGGTCCCTTGAAATTCCTTATGAATTTTAGAAGCACTTGTTACTTTTTACAAAGAACTCAGCTGAGATTCTGATAGTGATAGTTACTGTACTGAATCGATATATATCAATTTGGGGGGCATTACCATCTTAACAAGGTCAAGTCTTGCAATTCATGAAGATGAGATGCTTTTCTACTTATTTAGATATTTCTTTGAACAATATTTTACAGTTTTATGAGTATAAATTTGCACTCCTTTTGTTAAAGTTATTCCTAAATATTTTATCTTTGTGGTGTTGTTATACATATTACATCTGTTAATGTTAATAAACCCAACAATGAATTGTTATAATTACTATTTTACTATCTGTCATCATTTCCTAGAAAATTTCAGCTTTGTTCCTACCTACCTCCTGTGCCAAACTTGCTATGCCAAAGATAAAAGTTAAGCTTGGAAATTGAGTTATGCAAAAAAACTGCCTTTCCTTTGTTCCCAAACAGCTGCAAGATGGAAGGCCACATCTCTCTCCAGGTGGCCTCCCTCACCCTGATCCTGTAAATTAACAGCTTATCTTCACATATAGGTACAATGACAATATTAGAAATAATTCTACTGCCCACTATGAGACAAATGCAGATTTGATGAACATGAAACAAATGCATAACTGACTGTTCCTGTACCCTCTTCTTTCACATGTAACATGTGGATTCAGTGAGTGCTAATCAAAGCCTCACAAGAATGTGACCACTTATCTCACTACCTACCCTCCCCACTTTTTTTCTTTTCCCCTTCCCTTCCTGCCCACTCTTTCCCCTTTAAATCTTGAAGTCCTCAAAACCCTCTTTGGAAAAAATCCAGGTCTCAGATCCTTCAGTGACTAGAGTCTCTTCTTCCCAGGCACATCCTTAACCTGTGCAAAATAAACCTCTAAATTAATAGAGACCTGTCTCAGACACTTTTTGTTTTATACAGTCGATACATATTATTTTATATAATTGCTTTTTAGGTCAGTTAAGAGAAGAAGAAAATGTGTGTTTATATTGTCTTTTATAATTTCATAATTACCTTTACTTTGTGGGGATTCGAATTATCTGGGGTCACTCGCTTTCAGCCTGTAGAACTTTCTTTAGTATTTCTTGTAAGCTGGAATGCTAGCAACAAATTCTCTTTTTTAAATCAAGGAAAGTATTTTGCCTTCATTTTTGAAAGGACAGCTTTACTGGACATGGGATTCTTGGCTCATTTTTTTTCCTTTGAGCAATCTGAGCCCACTACCTTTTGGCATCCTTTGTTTCTGCTGAGAAGTCAGCTGTTAATGTTATTGGGACTCCCTTGTAAGTGAAGTATAGTTGTATTTGGGAAGGGGGCGTGGGGAGTGGGTAAAGACAGGGTCTCACTATGTTGCCCAGGCTAGTCTTGAACTCCTGGCCTCAAGCGATCCTCCTGCCTTGGCCTCCTAAAGTGCTATGATTACAGGCGTCAGCCACCGCACCCAGCCGATTGTATAGTTTTTCCCTTGCTGTTTTCAGGGTTTTGTCCCTGACTTTTGACATTTTTACCACGATGTATCTGTTTGTGGGTCTTTTTGCATTAATCTTACTTGGAGTTTGTTGAGCTTCCTGGATGGATAGGCTATTGTATTTCAAAAAACTGGGAAGGTTTCATTCACTATTTCTTCAAGTTTTTTTCTCCATTACATCTCTCCTCTCCTTGTGGTATTCCTATAACATAGATGTTGGTATTCTTAATGGTATCCCACATTTATTTGAGGCTCTGTTTATTTTCTTCATTCTTTTCTTTCTGTTTTTTTGACTTGTGTAATCTCTATCACCCTAGCTTCAAGTTGGTGAATTCTTTTCTCTGCCAGGTCAAAGCTATTCACAGAACTAAAGGAAGGCATGAGCCACCACAACCAGCCAAAACTGGGCATTTTAGATACATTGTTGCAACTCTGGGTACTGGTCCCCGCAGCTCTAAGGCTTGTTATTGTTGTTTGCTTTTTATCTGTTTAGTGATTGGCTGGATTATTTTAATGAAGTCTATCTCTCTCCCACAGTCTTAAATCTCTGATGTTCCTCAGCTAGACACAGCTTTGGGTATGCTAATAGTCACCTTGAGATGGCAGTGCTAATGGCAGGATTATCTTCCTCATTTTTTTTCTGACCACACCCAGATACTAAACTCCATTAACTGACTGCTCTACATTTTCAACAATGCCTTGAGGCAAAAACTCCTCTACAAAGGAATCTACAAAGGAGCTAATTGTAGCTCCTTTGATAGAACCTTTCTGAGGTCATGTTTGATATCTGCTCTGATTCCAGGAGGGGCTCCTCCCAGCTGTCTTATTCTCCGGATCTCTCCTTGGAGCTAGCTTACCTTCAGCTATCTTCACTAGAACTACAAGTCTCCTCCCATTGCCTTTCACCACACTGCCAGGGTTTTTTTGAGAATACCCTTAGGTTTAAACTTCTCCAGGTTCAGTTGCAAATGAAGTCACTTACTTGGGGAAGAGAATAGAGGCTGTTTTTCTCTTTTTTCCTTTTCCTTTCCCCTTCCTCCTCTCCTTTCTTTGCCTTTCTTTTTCTATTTCCTTCTTTTAGAAAGGGTGTTGCTCTGTCACCTAAGCTGGAGTATAGTGGTGTGATCCCCATTCACTGCTGCCTTGACTTCCCAGGCCCAAGTGATCCTCCCACCTCAGCCTCCCAAGTAGCTGGGACTACAGGTGTGGACTACCAAGCCCAGTTAACTTTTTTATTTTTTGTAGAGACGGGGTCTGTTTTGCTCAGGCTGGTCTCAAACTCCTGGGCTCAAGCCATCTGCCTGCCTTGGTCTCCCAAACTGCTGACCGACTGCCATGTCTGACCCAGGACCTGTTTTATTGCCTGCCTCTACCCAAGTAAAAATCTTTATGCCAGGGCTCTGGACCTGAGGGTGGAGAAAATGGCAAGCTTCTTTCTGACTGACACCTTGTAGAAGACCAGGTCTCACTAATGTAGGCCTCCATAACAACTTTTAGAACTGACTGAGTGGTTAAGCTAAATATTAAAAGCTGAAAGAGCCCATGTCCTTATACAAAGGTTGAGATATAACAAAAGCCTACCAAGAGTTTTCCTTAGGCCTTTCCTGGGCCTTAAAGCATGACAAGATAACGAAGGAATTCTTAACAGGACCCGTTTAGGATTTAAAAAGTTTTACTCAGGATCTGAAGAAACTCTCCAGGCCTCCACAAACAAGTTTATAGGTAGTCTAAAGAACTCCCCAAACCTCCATGATTTAGTAGGAGAGAAGATAAGAGTAATCACCCCAGCACCTGGGGCCCATTTAGATGAAGTAATTTACTGAGGCTCCAGAGGAAGGTCTTCAAGACTCAGAACTTATAGATTAAAATAAGCTAATCACTTATGTCTTTAGATAAATGCACACTTACATGTAGACATACAGCTTAGAAGGTATATGAGCTCTGGAAAACTTTGTAATTTTGAGTTGGTGTGGCAATATTTTCTGGGCCTTATCCCTGCAACTGGTTACAGAAATAAAAAACTCTCCTCCTCTCCAGTTCTGCATCTTGTTATTGGGCAGCAAGAAATAGCAGCCCAACCCTCAGTTTGGTCTGGGAACAACCTCATTCTAGGAAGTGAGCACTTGGTGGAAGGCAATTGCATGAGGTCCTTTCAGTTTATATTTCCCAGCAAAGAATCACTATTTCAAAAGCCCAGGCAAAGGTAATTAGGGCCCCAGTACTTTGAGCCTGCCATACTCAAGGACCCATTCATTGCGTGGGAATTGGGCACAATATGGGAGCTCCCTACTCCTGACCTCGCTTACCTGAAAGTTAGCCTCAGCAGCTTTCTGCTGAGGTCATTATTAGAAATGTTGAGGCCCTGCTCTTCCCAGGAAGAGAGCCTTCCAGCTGAGAGCTAGGAGGGAGCCCTGTGTTCTTGGCTACTGCAGTCTAGAGAACGATCTCCACTTCACTAAGCTAAGGCGGGTAAGACGGGAACAATCTTGACTCAAATACCACAGGCTCCAGTTTTTCTGACCACATTTTCCTAGACTTTCTTGAATAGATGTTTCTTCATTTTGCTGTTTGCTCTTAGGACCATTTCTGGACTCCAACTTAAATGAACTCATTCTTTGGGGCTCCACACTGCTTTTAGTTGTCCTCCTATCTCACCACTTTTTCTGTCTTTGTCTCCTTTGTAGGCTGCCATTCCACTGTCTAATCTATAAATGCTGGTACCTTTCTTGGGCCAAGGCTCTCTTTTCTCTCCATATATAACTTCCCTATGTAATCTCTTCCAATTCCACGATTTAAAAAAATGTACATGATGATGGCAGGGTGCGGTGACTCAGGCCTGTAATCCCACACTTTGGGAGGCTGAGGTGGATGGATCACCTGAGGTCAGGAGTTCGAGACTAGCCTGGCCAAAATGGCGAAACTCTGTCTCTACTAAAAATACAAAAATTATCTGGGCATGGTGGTGTGTGCCCATAATCCCAGCTGCTCGGGAGGCTGAGGTGGGAGAATCGCTTGAACCCAGGAGACAAAAGTTGCTGTGAGCAGATATCACACCACTGCACTCCAGCCTGGGTGACAGAGCAAAGACTCCATCTAAAAAAATAAAAATAAAAATAAGTGCATGATTACTTCCAAATACATATTTCCAGCCCTGACTCATATTTAATTACCTTTTCAACAACTCTATTTGCATTTTCAATTCACCAGTTTCAAAAGAAAAATATTAATTAAATACAATGCTTTGAAAAAATTTTTCCTATCTTAACCAGTCAGTCTTCCATTAACTAGTCGTATCCTTGATTCCCCTGTCCTCTCAAATCCATGGCTTGCCCTCTACATATCCTGTTTCAAAAATACATCTTGAATCAATCTAACCAAATTACCACCTCATCTGCTCATCCTAGTTCAAGTCATTATCATCTCTTATCTGGATAAACAAAATAGCTTCCATCTTCCACTTCTCCAACTCTGTGCTGGCCCCCCCTAAGTTGTCTACATAGCAGTCAGAGTGCTAATTTTAAAATGTTTATCAGTTCACATCATTCCTCTAAATCAATGGTTTCTCACTTTATTAAGATAAACTCCAAGCCCTTTACCATTGCCTGTAAAGCTCTACCTGATCTCACATTTCCTTTCCTCTCTGATCCAATCTTAAACACTTCCCTTCTTCATTCACTATGTTCCAGCTGCACTGGCTTCTTTCTGTTCTTCAAACCTCCTCATCTTAATTTTCTTTCTTTTTTTTTTTTTTTTTTTTGAGACAGAATCTTGCTCTGTTGCCTGGGCTGGAGTGCAGTGGCGCGATCTCAGCTCACTGCAATCTCCACCTCCTGGGTTCATGCAGTTTTCCTGCCTCAGCCTTCTGAGTAGCTGGGATTATAGGCATGTGCCACCATGCCTGGATTTGTGTGTGTGTGTGTGTGTGTGTGTGTGTGTGTGTGTGTGTGTATATATACACACACACACACACACACATATATATATACACACATATATATATACACATATATACACACATATACACATCTATATATACACACATATATATATACACACACATATACACACACACACACACACACACACACACATATATATATATATATATATATATATATATATATATTTTTTTTTTTTTTTTGTAGAGTCAGGATTTCACCATGTTGGCCAGGCTAGTCTCGAACTCCTGACCTCAAGTGATCCACCCTCCTCAGCCTCCCAAAGTGCTTGGATTATAGGCGTGAGCCACCACACCGTACCCAGTCTTAATTTTCCTAAGGTCTCTAAATTTGTTCTTCTGCCTGCAAAAACCTTACTCTAAATTTCTCATGGTTGATTCTTCCACACTATTTAGATCTCAGGTCAAATGTTACCTCCTCATAGAAGCTTTCTCTGACATCCTATATAGTAAGCAACTCTACAGCATTGTTTTATTTGCTTCATAGCAATTATCAATACTGAAAATTTGACACAAGTAATGAATCATGAAAAATGATATCCTGGCTATTCATGTTTTGATTCTGTTCTGATTCCTCTAGGGCCTGATTCCATTCATTTTCTCTTTTCTTTCTTACATCTCCCATCTCTTTTTCTCTCCACTGGCTACTTCCATCTATGAAAACTCAACTCTTCCTTGTTTGTGTCCTTGAACCCTCAAGATTTTTTGACATCTTCGAATATGGCCTCCTATATCTCGTTTTCCTCACCAACCACATTACTGAATTCATCTCCAAAAAGTGACAATAATATCCTATTAGTGAAAACACAGTAGCTTTTTTTACTCTAATTTGTTTTGCCTCCATTGAATTTACTGTTTTATTTTATTTATTTTTTGAGACTGAGTCTTGCTTTGTCACCCAGACTGGAGTGCAGTGGCACGATCTCGGCTCATTGCAACATCCGCCTCCCAGGTTCAAGCCATTCTCTTGCTCAGCCTCCCAAGTAGCTGGGATTACAGGCATGCACCACCACGCCTACATAATTTTTTGTTTTTTTCAGTAGAGATGGTGTTTCACTGTTTTGGCCAGACTGGTCTCGAACTCCTGACCTCAGGTGATCTGCCCACGTTGGCCTTCCAAAGTTCACGGTCTTTCTTCTTTCTTTTCCTTCCCTTCCCTTCCCCTTCCTTCCTCACACAGTGACCTACCTTCCTTCCTTCCTTCCTTCTTTCCCTCCCTCCCTCCCCTCTCTCTCCCTCTCTTTTCTTTTCTTTCTCTTTCTTTCTTTTTCTTTCTTTCACACAAGGAACATATATTCATTTTACATAAAAGCAGAAAATACAAAATTAGGATTCCACCTCCTGGAAATAACTGTTACTGTTTGCTTTGTATATTTCTAGACCTTTTTTAGTACATGCACATAGATTTAAAAATAAAACTAAGGCAGAAATAGAATACTATATTTGCTATTTTATATATACTTTTAAAAAATATGATATATCATTAAATCTTTGCAGATCAACAGACATAGGTTCTGTTCTCTTTTGCCCTCTCTATTAGGACTTACTGAATCTGCCTATTATAAAAGAGTTATTGAGAAGATAATCTGGTCTCATTCTATGATTCTAACCTATCATGGCCATTTATTTTGCCAGTCAAAACTACTCTTTTTTTTTTTTTTTTTTTTTAAAGAGAGACAGGGTCTCACTATGCTGCCCAGGCTGGCCTCTAACTCCTAGGCTCAAGAGACCTTCCCCAGTAGCTGGGATTACAAGCATGTGTCACACTGCCCAGCACGAGTCAGAACTTCCATATACTGTATTCTGCCAGTCAGAGCTTCTAACTATACTGGACACAAATTCAACTATATGTATTTAGGAATAAAATTAAAAGAGAAACAAACAACTGTTTAAACAGCACCCATGAGTCTATCCAACATTTTTCTTACAAGATAGGTGATAAGAAACTGCTACTGCTTTAGCCAGCCTTGACACAATAAATATGATTCTAGTGTTTAAAGAAAGGTGTGAAAGCCAATCACTTGATCTGATGCTCAAATTGAAAGTTTAAAATACTCTTTCAATTTTGGAGGAAAAGCTGGGCGGGCTAAACTTGCTGAGATGGTATACTGGTTTCCAATATGGCTCCTAAATATGGCTATACTACTATACTTCATGGGTGACCTAAGAGATTTTCAGGGGTAATTTTAACTATACAGTTGGACCTCCATTTCTGCAAATTCTACATCCAAGGATTAAACCAACCATGGATTGAAAACCTATTTAGGCCTACAATGGTCGTGGCTGTAATGAAACATTTATTCACATTTTTTCTTATCATTCTCTAAGCAATATAGTATAATAACTCTATGCATAGCATTTACATTGTATTAGGTATTATAGGTAACCTAGAGATGATGTGCATAGGTTATATGCAAATATTATGTCATTTTACCTAAAAAACTTGAGCTTCCCAATGGGTCCTGGAACCAATCCCCTACAAATACCCAAGGGATGAGTACATTCTGCCTTTTTTTTTTTTTTTTTTTTTTTGAGACGGAGTATCATTTTGTCGCCCAGGCTGGAGTGCAGTGACGTGATCTCAGCTCACTGCTGCCTCCGTCTCCCGGGTTCAAGCGACTCTCCTGCCTCAGTCTCCCGAGTAGATGGGATTACAGGCGAGCGCCACCATGCCCAGCTAATCTTTGTATTTTTAGTAGAGACGGGGTTTTACCATGTTGATCAGGCTGGTCTCGAACTCCTGACCTAGTGATCCACTCTGCTTTTTGTTAACACATTGACTGAGAACCTATCCCAGCATAAGATTTATCTCCCCTGTAGTTTCTGAACACCCAAGTTCCTTTTATGTCACATTTATGCAAGTGGTCCATCAATAAATGATACTGTCTGAGGTAATTACAGGTATATTATAACATCGATTAAAATACAATGACCACAGCATGATCATCTTCTAGCTTCTCATCATCCTACTTAGTGTTACACTTTAAAATTGACTCCAGCAGGAGCCACAAGTGTTCAACTAAGGGTGAAAAATTGACTTATTCAGTTAAAAGTCTTGCAAAGTCTTTTAAGGTATACAAATAAACTACAAATATTTAGAGACTTGGTATATACTTAATTTATAATTTAAAATAAAAATAAAAGATAAAATTTAAAATAAAAATAAAATTAAGATGCCAACTAACAGGTCAAATTAAACAAACATACTCATAATCTGGCTTTTTTGGTATGAATATATCTTGTGCATCATCTTCCATGTGTTGTAGGTCAACATAGAGGTCTGTAGTTCCACTTGCATTAAAATTCCCTTGGATATGCTGACTGTATTGTTGAAGACGCTTCCATAAGTCATTATAAAGACGTAATAATTTAGGGTATTCTCCTTCAAATGCCTGCTTCAAAAACATCGAAGCTGCCAAGCAAAACAAGAACATGAATTAGAAAAATAATAAAATGTAGTAAATGTTTCTTTTGCATATGAAGATATGTTCCAAATAACCCATACTATAGGGCAAACCAAAGACGTGTTCTAATGAGGCCTTTTATAATAATGCTAATAATAATAATTTTCCACTCTGACTATTCACTGCATTTGATGTGCAGGTCATATTTTGAAACCTAATCTATATTTAAAAAAAATAGAAAAGCCCACAATTGTAGTTGAAGATTTCAATTCCCTTTTTCAAGAATCAAGAAAATAAGTACACAGAAAATCGGGACAGAAAACTGGACAGCGCTAACACCCAATTGACTTAATAATTTACATTCACACAATACTTCATGCAAAACAGCAAACACACATTCTTTTCAAGTGCACATGGAATATTTACCAAGATCAACAATATTTGGTTCCATTAAACCGGTCTCAATACATTGAAAAGGCTTCAAGCCATACAAAGCTTGTTCTCTAACCAAAATAGTTTTAGATTAGAAATCAGTAACAAAAAGATACCTGAAAAGAATCCTCAAATATTTGGAACTAGAAAATGCTTCTAAATAACCCATGGATCAAAAAAGAAATCAAAAGGGAAATGAGAAGTATTTTGAACTGAACGAAAATTTTAACGCAACATATCAAAATTTGTGGGATGTCACCAAAGGAGTACTTGGGGGAAATTTATGCAAATATTTACATTTGAAAAGAAGAAAAGTTTCAAATCAATGACCTAAACTTCCATTTTAAGAATATGGAAAAAGAAGAGCAAATAAAAACCAAAGTAAACAGAAGAAATAAAATAATAAAGCTCTGAGAACAGATATCAATGAACCAGAAAATGAAAACAAGAAATATTGAAACCAAAAACTGGTTCTTTGAAAAGATAAGTAAAATTGCCAAACTTCTAGCCAGATGGATTAGGAAAAAACAGTAGAAACAAATTACCCATATTAAGAATAACAGAGATGATCTCATTACATATTACAAAATATTCTGCAGATACTGAAAGGGTAATAAAGGAATTATGAACAACTTTATCTGAATAAATTTGAAAACTTTCATGAAATACACAATTTCCTTGAAAGAAACAAACTAACAAAGCTCACTCAAGAAGCAATAGATAGACTGAATAGCACTATACTTGTTGATTCTTTTAGTTAAAAATCTTTCCACAAAGAAAAACTTCAGGCTTAGATGACTTTAGTGGTGAATTTTATCAAGCAATTTAAGAAAGAAATAAAAGCAATTCTATACCAATTCCCAATTCATTCTGAGGCCAGCACTGCCCTGATATAAAAACCAGATACTAAAGAAAAATAAAAACTACAAAACAATATTCCTTATCAAGATAGGTGCAAGAATTATAACCAAAATGTCATCAAATCTAGTCAAACAATATATAAAAAGTATAATACATCATGACCAAGGAGATCTATGTCAGAAATTCATAGTTGGCATATATATATATATATATATATATATATATATCTGGAATTATCTGGAATATATATATATATATATATGGAATTACATATATATATAGTCCCACTATATTGCCCAGGCTGTTCTTTAACTCCTAGGCTCAAGCAATCTTCCTGTCTTGGCCTCCCAAAGTGTTGGGATTACAGACATGAGCCAACATACCTGGTCAGCTTAATGTCTGAAAATCAATCAATGTGATTCATATTTTAACAAACTTAAAAGAAAAAGCGTATGCTCCTTTCAATAGAGGAAGAAAAAGCATTTGAAAAAAATCTAACATTCACTCCTACTAAGAACTCTCAGTCAACTAGGAACAGAAAGGAACACACCCTTAACCTAATAAAAGGCATCTATGAAAAACTACAGCTAATATAATACTTAAGAGAATAAGTAATACTTTTGCTCAAAAATCAGCAACAAGACAACAATGTTAGTTTTCCCCACTTCTAATATCCTAGAGGTTCTGGCCAGTGCAATGAGGCCTAAGTAAATAAGTAAATAAATAAGACATTCAGACTGGAAAGGCACACAGTCTTTTTAGAAAGATAATATACAAGCATCTATATGGAAAATCTGATGGAATATGAGAAAAGCTACTAGAGTTAACATAATAACTGAATTTAGCAAAGTTGCAGGATACGATTAATGTGCAAAACTCAGTCATATGTCTGTATACTAGCAATGAACAATCAGAAGTTGAAATTTTAAAAGAATACAATTTAGAATAGCACTAAAAATATGAAATACATAGATATATCTGACAAAATGGGAAATAGCTGCACACTGAAAACTACAAAAACAATGCTGAGATGAAGAAGACCTATATAAATGGAAAGAGAGAATATTCACAGTTCCAAGATATTGTTAAATGTAAATTATCCCTAAATTAATCTATATATTAAATGTAATCTAATTTAAAATCAATGCAGGATTTCTTTTAGTAGAAATTGAAAAAATGATCCAAAAATCATATGAAAATGTAAAGAACCCAGAATAGTCAGGGCAACAAAAACAACAATGTTGGAGTACTAATACAACCTGATTTCAAGACATATAAAACTATAATAATTAATACACTAGTACTGGGGTAAAGACAGACACATAGATTAATGGTGCAGAATAGAGAGTACAAAAATAGACCCACACATATCTGACAGACTGAATTTTGACAAAGGTGCAAACACAATTTAGTAGACACAGGGTAGAGTTCAACAAATGATACTGTAACAATTGAATAGCTATATGCAAAAATACCCTCTTTAACCCACACTCTGTACCTTATACAAAAATTAACTCAAAAAAGATTAAATTTTCTAAAAGAAAACATCTGAGGGAACTTTTCTGTCCTTGAGTTAGACATGATATGAAACCAAGAGTATGGTCTGCAAAAGAAATTGATAAACTGGACAACATCTAAATTAAAAGTGTCTGCTCTTCAAAAAAAATACGGCTAAGAAAATGAAAATACACGCCCCAGAAAGGGAAAATCAATTTCACATATATCTGATGAAGCACTTTTATCTAAAACACATAAAGAACTCTCAAGTCTCCATAACAAGAAAATAGCCTAACTTCAAAAATGGGAACTTTATCAAAGAAGGTATATGAATGGCAAACAAACACATGAAAAAAATACTCAACCTCTTTAGTCAATAGGGAAATGCAAATTAAAACCACAATGAGATACAACTACATAACTGTTCAAATGACTAAAATTAAAAAGAGTGACCACACCACAGCCGAACACAGTGGCTTGTGTAGTGAATAGTACTTTGGGAGGCTGAGGTGGGTGGATCACCTGAGGTCGGGAGTTTGAGACTAGCCTGGCCAACATGGTGAAACTCCATCTCTACTAAAAATACAAAAATTAGCCAGGTGTGGTGGTGCACACCTGTAATTCCAGCTATTTGGGAGGCTGAGGCACGAAAATTGCTTGAATCCAGGAGGTGGAGGTTGCAGTAAGCCAAGATCGTGCCACTGCACTCCAGCCTGGGCAACATAGTGAGACTCTGCCTCAAAAAAAAAATGACCATATCAAATATTGGCAGGGATAAACAAACTAGAACTCTTGTATAGCTTGTGGAGATAAAAAATTGTATACTTATTTTGCAAAAGAATTTAGCATTTCATTAAAATGTTAACTATATACCTAACATATTGTTAAATAATTCTGCTTTTAGATATTTGTCCAATAAAAATAACAGTATATATCTATATAAGGAATTGTACCTGAACATTCACAGTATCTTTATTTGTAGTAGCAAAAACTGGAAACAATCCAATGTCCATCAACAGGCCAATGCATAAACAAACTAATATATCCATGCAATGGAATACTATGCAACAACAAAAACATACTACAATATAGCTGAATCTCAATAAAATCATGCTGCATGAAAGAAGCCAAACAAATAAGAATATATAATATATGCTAAATCATTCAATTTGTACAAAATTCTGGGAGCTACAAACTACCATATAGTAACAAAAAGCAGATCAGTGTTTGCCTGGGAATGGGGGAGGGAGATAGTGGAGACAGTAATTACAAAGCTGTACAAGGAAACTTTTGGCAGTGATGAATATGTTCACTGATTGATTATTGTGATGATTTCAGGGGTGTACTCATATGTCAAAACATATCAAATTGTATACTTTCAAGACGTGTTGTTTATTGTATGCCAGCTATACCTCAGTAAAGCTATTTAAGAGAAATTATCTCAGAGAAAACTTCTTTGGCCTCCCTCTTCCCTGATAAAGCAGCAATGCACCATGGGCCTCAAGTAACACTATATGTTCTTTCACGGCATGCCAATAATGCAAGGCCCTGGGTTTGCTCTTGTATTTGGCAAGAAATCTTGAGAGATATGGTAACATCATCCTGCAGACAGATAGCAGACTCATTTACTATTCACTACAAAAGTAGTAGTTTCTTCAAGCTGAAAGTTCCTTACCTGCCATGCAATCTCTGTACATGCACCATCCACATGGGCCCATGTCATATCACCCTATAATATTTGGAGGCATGTGAAACTAAAAAACAATATGCTAATGCTCATGATTCTTGCTGTGTTGTAATAAAGTTCTAAACATATTTGTTTGAAGTATGTTTCTCCTACTTGGCTGTTAACTCCATGAAGGCAAGGACAATGCCTTTTTTCTTCAAAGCACGTTTGGTACCTAGCACAGTGCCTTGTAATAGCAGAAGTAAATATTTCTTAAATAATAGAATGAAGTTTTTGGTTTTTTTTCTTTTTTTTCTTAGAGATGAGGTCTCACTTTGTTGCCCAGGCTGGTCTCAAATGATCCTCCCACCTCGGCCACCAAAGTGTTGAGATTACAGGTGTGAGCTATCATGCCCAGTTGAATATGTTTTTTCTTTTTAGGGGACAGTATCATTTTCACAAAAATCTTATCTATACAGAACAAATTACTACTGAGGGTTTAAGCCAAACTTTGTCTATATTATCTCAGCAAATGTGATTGATTAATTAACTGTAAGTTACTTAAGTCAATTATATTTAAAGCTTACAAACAAGTATTATATATTTAAATCTTGACACTAAGTTTTTTTGTTTGTTTGTTTTTTGTTTTTAGAGACAAGGTCTCAGTCTGTCACCCACGCTGGAGTACAGTGGCACAGTCACGGCTCACTGTAGCCTTGACCTCATGGGCTTAAGCAATCCTACCTCAGCCTCCCAAGTAGCTGGGACCATAGATATGCACCACTACACCCAGGTAATTTTATTTACTTTTTAATTTTTGTAGAGATGAGGTCTCCCTATGTTGCTCAAACTCCTAGGCTGGTCTCAAACTCCTAGGCTCAAGGAATCCTCCCACCTCAGTCTCCCAAAGCACTGGGATTACAGGAATGAGCCACCACACCCAGCCAAAGGTAAGTTCTACTGTAATTTATTTGATATGTAGTTATAAAGTGTTCATATTACCTATACAATTTTAATTATTTGATGAAAATTTATAGTACACCTACTGTACATTCTGATAATCAAATAATTTATACAAGGAAAATTACAGGTTAATTCCCAGTTACCTGGGAATGTATTATTCAGATTATTGCCTTGTGCAAACTTGTTTTTTTTAAATTAATCACTAGTGATTACAACACAGGCACAAATGTGGAAATTAAACTCACATTAAACAACCTAATTACTATTAAAACAATATTTTATAATTTAGAAGATAATTCTATGTATTGTACTCCTACCAGGTAATAATAGGTCTGGGGAAAAACCTCTGATTAAGAAAGTATGCCTTTGATTTTATTCCCCTATCTTTGTCTTCTTGAATTCACTGCAAAAAGAACCCCCACAGTTTCCAAAATGTGTAGGGACAGACCCATCCGAAACCTTGACCTAATTCACATGAAGATTAAAGGATATAAATAGTCTATGTGCTCAATTTCTCTCTTCCCATCTTCTCTATTCCAGTACCTTCTTTTATTTTCTTCCCTAGCCCTGAACACTGTAAGAAGTTACTAATTTGTATTGACTGTCCTTCCCCTTTAAAATGTGAGTTAAATGAAAGCAGGGTTATTATTTGTCTTATTTTCCTCTGTGTTTCTTTTACCTAGATTTAACACTTAGCATTCAATTACTGAATGAACAAATGAATTGAAAGTAGAATGAAAAGGGGGTCTAGGTTTGGAGTTATGTCATTTCCCCCTTGGAGTTATATCAGCCTTATCTTAATCTTCTTACTACCCCTACATCCCTGGTTTAAGGCTTCACAGGACAGCTCTAATGTATTCTTTATCCCAGAGTTGGAGCAATCTTAGGTCTTGTCTTAGTCTTGACTAGCTGTGCCTAAACCTCAGCCTGTATGACGCTGCTTCTCCTGCATCTCCCTATAAAAGGACCAAAGACCTCCTGTCTAGGAAACTGGCTGCGGTCTGGCCAAGAAAAGGCAGTACTCCTTAAAACTCTGCCAACCTTCAGATGCCCAAATACTGGGCAGTGCCAAATATACCTGGAAGGATTTAAGCATTCATCCATTCAACAAATATCTGCTGACCACTTACTACATGCCAAATACTGTTGTAAAAGCTGGATATGCAAGGGTAAACAAAATAAGCAAGTTCCTTTCCATATAGAGATTATACTCGAGTGAAGAAGGACAATAAACAAGTCATTATGTAACATAATGTCAGGAAGTGCTAAATGTCTTGAAGAAAAATAAAGCAAGGTTAGAGAAGAGACAGACAGGATGTGCTATTTTATGTACTTACCTGGGAGGACCTCTCTGAATGAAGCAAGGATATGCTCCATCTGGATATTCAGGGAAAGAGCAATTCAGATAGAAGAAACAGCAAATGCAAAGGACATGGAATAGATTATCCTAGTAGAGGCTGCTGGTCATATTTTAAGAGAACTGCCTGTTGTTTGGAGGATTTGGCCTGAAACAGTCAGCCTTCATAGCTTAATTAAGTGCCGCCTTTGTGAGCAGGCTGCTACCCATTTCTTGCTCATTCCTTTTCCTAACTGGCCCAGTTCTCAATCAACTGCCAGGCCTTCACCTATATCACCCAGATTATGAAAGCAAAGGAAGCCAGTAATCTATTGCCTTTAGGATGTCTTGAATGTTTTGTTTCATAAATGTACTAGTTATCTATTGTCATGTAACAACTTGCCATAAACATTAACTGCTTATTTTAAAAACATACATATATTATATCATAATTTCTTTGGGTTGGGAATCCTGGCATGGCTTAGTTTGGTCCTCTGCTTCAGGACCTCTCACAAGGCTGTCATCAAGGTATCAACCATGGGTGGAGTCTCATCTGAAGAGTCAACTGGGGAAGGATCTGCTTCCAAGCTCTTGTGGTTGTTAGCAGGATTCAGTTCCTTGTGAGCTGAGAGCCTCAGTTTCTAGCTTGCTGTTAGCTGGAAGCTGACCTTGGCTCTTGCCAAGTGGAATGGTATGACAGCTGCTTGTATCGTCAAAATGTGCAAGCAAAGAAGGCAATAGAGAGACCGCCTGAGAGCAAAATGGAGGTTAAAACCGTATGCAACCTAATCACAGGAGGGATACGCACTTTGTATGTACAAGTTAGAAGCAAGTTCTGCCTATATTTAAGAAGAAAAGATTACAAAAGTGTGCCAATACCAGTAGACAGATGTACTGAAGGCGATCTTAGAATCTTTCTGCCACAATAAAATATATCATATTTCATTCACATTAATGGGAATTATATAAAAGTCAAATACTAAGGGCCATACAGCAAACTTGCAAACACCTACTTTTCAAATACTTATATACTGTAAAGTATATTAATCCTTTCTAATACAAAACAATGACAAAACAAAATCAGTTTTACATAAAAAATATAATTGTCTAGAGTATTATTGGAAAAAAATGCCCAAATACACTAAAAATAGTTCAGACATACAATAAGAGTACCAGAACAAAACACAGCTAAGTCATTTGCCCCAAGTTAATGTTTTTCATCATTCTTTCTGCTTTAGCCACTGAAGTGGGTAATAATTTTTAGAAGCAAATAAACATTTATATGAACTAAAGCTAATTGTAAATAAATGTAATTTTCTTTAATTATAGTTCAGAAAAACTCAAGCCAGAATAGAAATAAAACAGACCTTTGTAAAACTCAGAGAAATCTCATTTAAGATTAACAGATATTAAAATGCAAGTCTTATATACAAAATATTAGGATGGAATGAATGAAAATATCTGTCTATAGCCCTAAGAGATTTCTCACATTTTGGTTTTCTATTGTTTCTCCTCCTCATAATGGCAGCAACACAAAGTTATGGAATCCAATACCAACTAGGTATGCATTCTGTACTGCAATCCCTTATTTTTTAACAGGGATATAAAGCATACACAATCTCTTCCAAACTTCTAACTCTGTAAGCCTCAATCCACTGGTGATAGGAAAATGGCCATCTTTCCTATCTCACAGAAAAACAAAGGCTTCTAGGAAAGAAACTCTTCAATTTTCTACCTTCTTCCCGTCTATTTCTAGTCTTCAACTTTGACAGGAACACACGTCCAAGACCTATTTCTCAATTTCTGTTCTCTGTTTCATCCCAACTCATCTCCTCCAAGATTATTTGTTTCTTTTGTATTTTTAGCACCTCACTTTCTACTGGCTTCCTCTTAGGATCAATAAAAGATGCCTGAACATGCTCTCTCATGATATAAAAAAGTACAAACAAGATGCCAACACACTCCGCCTTAACTCTATAAACTATTCATTTGCAGCCACTGTCCTGTTGCTCCTTGTAATAACAGTCTGCACACATTTGCTTGCCTCTTCCAGACTGCAGCCAGACTTTCAACTGCCACAACACCACTGAAATTATTCTGGTGAAAATCACGCTATCATTCCAATTGCCAACAACAGTGGGCGTTTTTCTGATCTCTCATTTGATTTCTGTTGATCACTCTCTCCTTTGAAAAATACTGTCCATGACCCCATTCTTTCCTGTATTTTCTACTTCTCTAAATTTTTCTTTATTCTTCTGTGCTGACTTCCTTCCTCTGCCTTAAGTGCTTTCCTTAAAATTCTGAAAACACTGTTTTTATAGGTTTCAAACATATAATGTAGAGAGAATAGTATAATGAACCTCTGTGTATCCATCACTTAGTTTCAGCATTTGTCAACTCTTGTTTTTATCTATATCCTGGCCAATGCCCCTCCATCACTACCAGTTATTTTGGAGCCAATATCATTCTATCATTTCACTCATAATCACAAGTATATCTAATAGTAGGAACTATTTTCTTTATATAGCCACAGGAGGTCATTATTCTAAGTGTAGTAACTCAGGAATGGAAAATCAAATATTGTATGTTCTCACTTATAAGTGGGAGCTAAGCTATATGAATGCAAAGACATAAGAATGATATAATGGACTTTAGGGACATGATGGGGGAGAAGGGTGGGAGTGGGGTGAGGAATAGAAGACTACATATTGGGTACACCCACTGCTTGGGTGATGGGTGTACAAAAATCTCTGAAATCACCACTAAAACACTTATCCATGTAACCAAAAACCACCTGAACCCTACAAATTATTGAAATAAAAATAAAAATTACACAAAAATACATAGCCACAGTTCTCTTATACTTTACAAAATTAACAATCAGTGGTGACATCTGCCTGATTGAGTTAGGAATTTTTTAATGCTTTGTTTGATTTAGGATCCATAAATAGTTCACCTATTATAACTAGTTGATATATCATCAACCTAATCTGTAGTTCTCTCATTTTATTCTTTTTCATTATTTGTCTAAGAAACTGGGACATTTGTCCTACAGAGTTTCCCATAGCCTAGATTTTGCAGATTCCATCCTCTGATCCTGTATTTCCTGTAAATCATCAGTTGAATCTAAAATAGTGTTTTTCACCTTGACTGCATCTTGAAATAACTGAGGAGCTTTTAAAATTCCTTATGTTTGGGTCTTACTCTTAGAGACTCTAATGTAATTACAGCCCAGGCTTTGGGATTTTTAAACACTGTCCAAGTGATTCTAAAGAGCAACCAAGTTGAAAACCACTGATATAGGTAAGAATTTGATCAGATTCCAGGTTTTATCATTTCTAACAGGACTACTGCATATGTAGTGACTGAATTTTCTGAAGTGTTTGCCTTTTTAAATAAAATTAGCAGCCACTAATAATCATCCTTAGGTCTGCTAATTCATTGAAGACTGCAAAATGAAGAGATTCCAACATTCATTCTGCATTTATTAGAGGCAATACTTAAATAAATAGAAATTTATCTCATGAATTATTTGGTTTCTCTGAGGTATCATTTGTTTAGGAAAGGCAGAAAAACATGTTTGATCGTGTTCCTTTTATTTACCAGTTTTCAAAGTTCCATACCATCATTAATGGTAACCAACCATTACCAATAAAAAAAGTATTTCTTTATTTGTATCACTATGAATGTATGGTGGATTTAGACAATCCCTTGCAATTGTTATCTTTATTGTATACTAAAATTATTCCATCTTTGGTAGATGGTCTATTCAAAGTGTTTTCTGAGCCCTTTCAATACAACCCCAGTAGTCTCTGATATCTCCTTGGCTTTCTAATGTAAAGGGTTACAGAATTATTCTATACATTTCCTGCCCCAGATCTGGAATCAGCCATTTCCTCATGGAATTATGGTTTTTTAAAATGGGAAATCATGTGGAAAGACCACAACATAAGTGATAAAGGGGTTCAGTACTACTGAATGACAATTATTTCTAGGGCTTTTCGGTGGTCAGAGCTATGAAATATATATAAATCAAATATTTTTTAAAGAAAAAAATACATCATCACTTCACTTTGATCTCATTCACTTTGCATCTTCATTCTCTCATGCTGAAAATGCTATCATATCAATATGATTATTCATTTACTTTATCCCACACTACACACACAACAGTCTGAAAATAACAAGTCTCCTTTAGCATGTAAGTCCATTTTTAAAAATAAAGATTATTTTGATTTTTACAGTTCGTTTTCTCTTCAGAGTTCCTTCAAATTAATAAAGACTTTAAATATTTAACACTTTAGGGATCCATCTCAACAGAATGTCTGTTATTTACTGAACACTGTGTTCTCTGATAGGACTATAGCATGGAACAGAGGTAGGCAGAAGCTTTTTGCAGAGCCCAGTGGGAGACACAGATAAGCTAGTAGGTGTAGTAGTAATGCTACCATCAATATCTTGATTACTGAAAAGAGTTCATGGGTTGTGGGGGCAGTTTTTGTTGTCCTTTAAGGGTATCCCAGTAGGAATACAAGAAACAAATTACTGAGTTTAAAAGTAAAGGCATCAAATAAGCAGAAAGTCAAATGAAAGAGTTGGCTTTGTGTGGTTGTGTCACACATCTACATTCACTTATTTAATTTTACTTTGTAATTTTAGGAATTTTTTCATTTTCATTTTGTTTTATAAATGTGTAAAATACTTATATGGCTTCAAACTTAAATCTACACAAAAAGTATATTCGTATATTCACAAAAGTCTAGCTTTTATCCCTGTTCCTGCCAATGTATTCTTCATACCCAACCCCCTCTCTCCCAAGGACTGGCAACCATTTTTCTGGATTTTATAGTTTATCCTTCAGTTTTTTAAAAATATAAGGAAAATGTATATTTATGTCACCTCTTTCTTAGGTAAACAAAAGTGTACTATACACATATTTAGCCATTGATTTTTAACTTAACAATCTTGACCTCTCCAAAGCAGTATGTAAAGATATTCCTCATTCCTTTTTTCCCCTCATTTCTTTTTATAGCTGCATGTGCCACTCTCCCAAACTATAGTTAATATCATGTGATTAACTTCCCCAGTGATACCAGTTAGACTTGGGATGTTTCCCCAGACAATCCAACACGAGCAAAGAAAAAGCTCGTTGTAGAAGCATATTAATATACCGATCACACAGTGCTACTTCATAAAGCCACAACCATGGCTCACCAGAAGTGGAATAAAAAGCTCATAAACTTTATAAAGATGTTTCACAGAATTTAAGCTGCCCACTTTGTGGGCAAATTAGAGAAGCAATGGCTTGCATTTTTTTTAAAATACATCAGTATTATTCTGCTAGTTCTATAAAAACAATGTAAACACAAGTGTTCTGTACAACTTGGGGAATTCACAAAATGCTAAAATAAAAATTAGTGCTGCAGTCGCTAATGGCAGATGCTACGGACACCCTTGAAGGGAGAAGAAACGATAAAGAACATGTGTGGAATACAACCCAAAAGGCTGGACAAATTTCTAAACCAGTTAGAGGACAGTTCTTAAAAACTAAAAACTGAAAACTGCTCGAAGACAAAAAACAAAAATGAAGTAGCTTCATTCAAACTATGCAGAAAAGCTAGTCATTAGGGAGCAGGTGCTAACACTAAGACATCCCAAAAGAAGAGGCAAGGGCATGCACCCAGTACACACACCCAGGACTGAGACAGCTGGATAACAAAGGCCTGTCAGCAATGGAAAGTTGTGGTATTTCCCTCAGTTTATCTTCAACAAAGATGCTCTACATTTCATTAATCTCGACTGGCATCAATAAAAGTTCTCAGCACATATGTAAAAAAAAAAAATCCATTCCATTCTATGGAATTCTATGGATTCAACATTCCGTTCTGTGGATTCAACATAGTTTGTTTAACTAATGTCACAATAATGAACATTTGGGTTGTGTGCAATTTTTGGTATTCCAAATAATCATGCAACAAATAGCCCGGCGAATGTCTGTTTAAATTTTTGCCAGTGCATCTATGCGATAGATCCTTAAAAGTAGAATTTCGGGGTAAATGAGTAGCTGCTTATATAATTTTGTTGAGAACTCACAAATGCCCCTCCATAAGGTTTGTATGCTAATTAACAATGTGTGAGACTGACTTTTCCTCACGGGCTTGCCAATAGAGTATGTTATCAAACTTTTTGATTTTTTGCTGATTTGATAGATGAGAAATAATGTCTCTCTGTACGTTCTGCATTTCTCTATTTATAAGTGATATCGAGCGTATTTACATTTTTTTTTTTTTTTTTTTTTTTTTTTTTTTTTTGAGACGGAGTCTCGCTCTGTCGCCCAGGCCAGACTGCGGACTGCAGTGGCGCAATCTCGGCTCACTGCAAGCTCCGCTTCCCGGGTTCACGCCATTCTCCTGCCTCAGCCTCCCGAGTAGCTGGGACTACAGGCGCCCGCCACCGCGCCCGGCTAATTTTTTGTATTTTTAGTAGAGACGGGGTTTCACCTTGTTAGCCAGGATGGTCTCGATCTCCTGACCTCATGATCCACCTGCCTCGGCCTCCCAAAGTGCTGGGATTACAGGCGTGAGCCACCGCGCCCGGCCACATTTTTTTCCCTATAGAGTTTTTGGCTTTTTAATTCCCATTTTAGAAGCTTTTTATATAATAGAGATACTAATGCCTTACCTTTAGTGTTAATTAAAAATTTTTTTTCTATTTTGTCATTTTTCCTTTTTTTTTGCTCAAGGTTTTTTTCCATGCAAAAAATTTTTTAACATAATCAAATCATCAAGGTTTTCATCATTGCTTCTGGATGTTGAATCAGAAAATTTTCCCCCGATTCCTAGCTTATTCTAGGCTTGAATGGTTTCATATTTCATATGTAATTGTTTGATCCACTTGGAATTTACCCTGACATACAGAGTAAACTGGGGATTTTTTTTTTCTGTGAACCCATCCTAGCTTCCCATCCTATAATAATCACCACTAATGCTCCTGCAACCATCTTTTCATGTCCCTGTTTATCATGTATAGATATTGTTGTTTGTTTTATAAAAGTATTTCATATTTGGGTCTCCTTTAGCTTATGTCTGTTTTTAAAAATTAAGATTATTTTGATTTTTACAGTTCGTTTTCTCTTCAGAGGTCCTTCAAATTAATAAAGACTTTAAATATTTAACACTTTAGGGATCCATCTCAACAGAACGTTATTTACTGAGCATTGTGTTCTCTGACAGGACTATAGCATGGAAAGAGGTAGGCAGAAGCTTTTTGCAGAGCCCAGTGGGAGACTCAGATAAGCTAGTAGATGAGCCATTATAATGCAGTGGGCTAAGTGCTGAAATCGGGTACATTAAGAATTTTGTGGGAACTGACAGAAGAGGTCTTGCTCATGTTTGGGTGGGCATGGGGAAAGAGGCGTCAGGGAACACTTCATTTCTACTCTGAGACTGAAAAGACAAGTATGAGTTACAGAGATGATGGGGAGGATATAGACACGTGTTTCAGGTATTTGTAAATGCTGAGGAGAAAGAGGGTGATTCATTCAACAATTCAGGCTTAAGTATGAGATAAAGACATAGAAAGAAAATTAATGAGTGCTGAGGAAATAGGAAGGGACCAGAAGAGTCATATTCGAATTGCATTTTGAGAGTAATGGAAGAAGAGTGGAGGCAGACCAGTTCACTTCTTGTAACAATTAAAGAAGGCTTATCTATTTAAAAAAATTCATGCTTGGCAGAAGCAGAGGACCTCGGCAGAAGAAGGGAAAAACTAACAAAGCTTTTAGGGGTTCACAGGACAGGAGTGAAAAATTAGAAACTGAAGGAATCTCAAACTGGATTTCCCATGGAACATTTGCTGAGTTCTGCGATTGTGAGGGAAGCCAGGGAATTAGGTGTAAATCTTCAAAAAGTGGAGTAGAAGTTTCTTCCCATTTGTGAGGCTTAGGAAACAAAAGACCAGCTGTGGGGAAAGGACGTGCCACAAACACAAGCAAGGTCTTATCCTGAAGACATTCACTAGGTCTAAAGTTTCATGAGGTGGGAAGTCTGTGAATCTTTGGACAGCAAAGCTAGATCAACCTCAGTATTTCAGGACAAAGACTCTCCAACTTCTCAATTAAAAGCTTGGGAGAAGCATGTCAAAGTAAAAGAGGAGAATGAAAGGCAAACTGAGTGTTTATTAAAACTGCACCTGCCCCACACCAACCCAATCCTAGAGTGAACTGAAATAATCAGCCTCTATATACACAACTGGAATGCCAGAGGAAGACAATACCGAATATTAACAAGCATGTGGAAAAACTAGAACTCTCATATACTGCCAAGGAGAGTTTAAATGAGTACCACCATGTTGGAAAACTCTCTGACAGTACCTAATAAGCTGAGAAAACAACTAATATGTATTTTCTTATAGTTTTGGAGGTCAGAAGTCTGAGATTGGTCTCACTGAGCCAAAATCAATGTGTCAGCAGTATAGTCATGTTCTTTCTGGAGGTTCTAGGGGGAATTCTGTCCCTGTCTTTTCCACTTGCCTGCATTCCTTGGTTTGTGGCCCCCCTTCAAGCAATTATATTACTCCTACCTCTGTTTCCATTATCACATATCCTCCTCTGAGTCCTGCTTTCCTCTTACTCTTAAAAGGACTATATGATTACACTGGGTCCACTCAGATGATCAGAGATTATCTTGATAATCTCTCTACCTTAAAATCCTTAACTCACATCCGCAAAATCCCTCTTGCTATGAAGGTAACATAATCACAGATTCTGGAGATTAGGCCATGGAACTCTTTGGAAGGACTATTATTCTGCCTATCAATTTTCCATTTTTGAGTTAATTTCCCAAAATTGCACAGAATTGTCATGGTACCATTATTTAAAGTAGCACAAAATGGGAAATCACCCAAATGCTCATCAATAATATGAAAGATAAACATATTATGGTATATTCACAGGATGGAATATTTTACCATTTTGAGAATGACTTACAAGTACATGCAGCAATATGGGGGACTTTTAGAAACATTTTGAGCAAGAGAAGTCACACAGGAGACACGAGCACAAACTAGATGATTTTATCTGTATAAAAGAAAAATAACAATTTTAAAAAATTCCATTAGAAATTAGTGGAAAAAATTCCATTAGAAATCTCTTGTTGAGAGGGGCTGGTAGAAACTAGAAGGGGACATGAAGGGAACATCTGGACTACAGATAATACTGTTTCTTATTCTTGATGCTGTACTTGATCTTAGTTATACAGATGTTTTAAAATTTGAAAAACTCATCTAGGTGTGAAATTATGATATGTACACTTTTTCTTAATGAGTATTATAGCTTAATAAATACTTTTTTAAAAGATTAATGGAAGTCTGGCTGGGCACAGCGGCTCACGCCTGTAATCCCAGCACTTTGGGAGGCCGAGGCGGGCAGATCACGAGGTCAGGAGATAAGAGACCATCCTGGGTAACACGGTGAAACCCCATCTCTACTACAAAAAAAAAAAAAAAAAAAAAGCCAGGCATGGTGGGCGTGCCTGTAATCCCAGCTACTTGGGAGGCTGAGGCAGGAGAATTGCTTGAACCCAGGAGGCAGAGGTTGCAGTGAGCCAAGATCGTGCCACTGCACTCCAGCCTGGGCAACAGAGTAAGACTCTGTCTCAAATAAAACAAAACAAAACAAAGACTATTGGAAGTCAATGCAGGATTTTAATCAGAAAATGACATGATCAAATTTGTTCTGCCAAACAGAACATCAAAGCACTTACTTGATAGCTAGATTTACTTTCTTCCAAGGTATATAAACTTTTAGTACTTTCCTAAAAGATCCCTCTTATCTCAAGCCCTTAACACAAATTGCAAGTTTTCTTTTTGTGTTACAGTGTTAGGATGGTACTTTATAGGCTCATTAGAACTATGTAACAAAATACTTCCATTGCAAGGATCAAAATTCTAAAAAGTACTTTAAATGAGTATATTAGGTTTATCTCCCTAAGTATATACATATTAAGGTAGACATTAATTTTCAAGAAATATTCACAATATGATCTCAACTTGCATACTATTCTAATCTTTTTTTTTTTTTTAAAGAACATACATTCTCATATAGTTTGTTTTATCTCCCTAATTCTTGGAAAGATTTGACTCTTTATCACTATATGTTTTAAAAAGGTAAAGATAATGAGCTTTAGTATACAGTATTTCAAGCCTTAAAACTTTTAAAATCTGGTAACACATATATCTCAATGTATCTCTTATTCATTCTTGGTTTGGGAAGCCAAGTATTACAGATATATAACCATGTTAGCACTCTAACTTGTATGAACAACTTCTTTGAGTGGCTTAAGAGTTTTCAGAGACTAATACTGCACAAGGGGTTTTAGACATGTAAAAAGAGATGTACTTGCTAGATTTTTCAAGCATACTTCCAAAAAGAAGTAAATTTATTGTCAAGCTCTTGGATTACCTTCTAATAGAACTTTTTTTTTTTTTAACTAAGCATGAACATGTATAATCAGAAAGAACATATTCCTAACTAGGAACATTTTCCTTTAGATATACTTTGCCAAAACATTACTTACTTAGACAATCTGTTACATTGTGTGTAATCCTCAACTCTGCAGATGGTTGCACTTCCTTAATATTGCCTGTCTATAATTCTAAGAAGTACTACAGTACACTTCAGGGACTGTATGTGCTATAAAAATTGAAGGTACTTTATAAACAACTTACTTTGGAGTTCTCCCAAAGGAAGTTATTAAAGTAATTATGGTATTAGAAGTAGCAGGCTATTCCTAAGGTGAAATATTAATGGGATTTTCTGTCTACATATTGTATGTTTCCTGTCATTAGCTTCTTTCACTATACAAGACAGATAGGTCCCATAAGATAAGAACTGAAAACATACGCTGGCAATTAAAAAGTAGGTCATTGCTTCCCTTAATGAGAACAATTTCAATAGAATGATGGAAGACAGCCAGATTACACCTAGTTGAGAAATCAACAGAATGAAAATGAACACCAAAAAATGCAAACTACTCTTTGGAGAAATTTACATAAAAAGAGAGAGAGTAAACAGCAACTAAAGAGGAACTTTCTAGTTTTGTTTTATTTTTTATTACATGGGAGCAACATGAATAGGTTTATAGCTGAGGAAAAGAAATTAAAAGAGAAGGAGAAATCCAACACAGAAAAAGGAGAAATATAAATGATGATGCTAGGAGAGAGAAATAAACAGAGTAGGTCTGGGCACCAGGTAAATGGGTGACCTTGAAGAAGAAGTTAAGTTATCTTCTGAGGCTCAAAGGGAGGAAATAAGGCTCTTATTTGGAAGAAAGGTACAGGAAAAAATTTCTTAATGACATTAATTGTCCTAATGACCCAGGAGATAAAGGAAGACATGTGGAGAATACTGAAGGTTTGTAATGGTTAAGAAAAGAAAAGCAGGCAGGGCGTGGTGGCTCTCGCCTGTAATCCCGGCACTTTGGGAGGCCAGGGCGGGCGGATCACGAGGTCTGGAGATTGAGACCATTCTGGCTAACACAGTGAAACTCAGTCTCTACTAAAAATACAAAAAAAAAAAAAAAAAAAAAAAAATTAGCCAGGCGTGGTGGCGGGCGGCTATAGTCCCAGCTACTCGGGAGGCTGAGGCAGGAGAATGGCGTGAACCCAGGAGGCGGAGCTTGCAGTCAATGGAGATGCACCACTGCACTCCAGCCGGGGGGACACAGTGAGACTCTGTCTCAGGAAAAAAAAAGAAAGAAAAGCAGATAATCACTGACAAGTAAATGGCAGTATCACTAAATAAACGTACACACACACTCCCATATAATATTCTGAAATATACTTTTAATCATTATTTAAATTTGAATCATTAAATATTTTAATCACTATTTAAATCATCATGACCATAAGCAAAAGTTTCTCATTGAAATTTTAATGAGGAACTTTTGCTTATGGTCACAATGATATGATAGGGACCAGATTTACCAACCTATCTGAAACAACAAAAAATACACAATATATGAAAGATGGCTTTCAAGACATTTAACATGCAACATAGGACGGTGATTCCTCAGAGTCAGGAAACAAATGAGATGAACCCTATGAGTGCCCCAGCTCATTACCTTAAAGGACTTTCCAGGCCATGGCACGGAAAGAGGGAAAATACCCTTCCTTCTATCCCCTCCCAGAACAGCCAAACAGAAACAACTAGAGTTCACAAAATAGAATACCGGAGAGAACAGAGGCGCATAGACAGAGAATTCCAGAGATGTGCAAAGGGTTCCCTTTGAGTATTCAGCAAAGCACTGATCAGCATTAAACTTCCAGAGTTTGGGGGAAAACTATGAAAAAGGTTTAGAGGGAACATCCTGTTACATTCACATAAGATTGAGAATAATCCCTATTCTCTAAAGCCAGGCTGGAAAACCTCATAATTCACAGGGTAATAATTTGAGGGTATTAAGAAGAATGTTGCCTCATAACTGGGAAATAAATAGCAGATTATTACTGCTTTGAATTTGCTAATAAATCTTAAAGCAATATTCAAAAGGATCAAACTGTCTTTAAGTATCTGATACTATCAGTATTAGAGATGACAAAATTAATCAGCCCCAAACAAGGTTAAGTTCATGTTTAATATCCAATAAAAATTATTAGACATGCAAATAAGTAGAAAAATATCAGGTCTGATGGAAAGAAAATTCAACCAAACAAAAACCCGGAATTAACATAGATGTTAGAATGAGCGGACAAGGGCATTTCCATCCCGGTCTTATTCTGTGGAGTTCAACTTACTTATTGTTTCTGTGATTTCCTTAGTTTACCTTCTACGATTTTACTAAAAATGTTCTAAAACAATAAATAATAAACAATATCGGAAGATATAATGGTTAAAGGCTTGAAATTTTTAAAGTATGCTAATGGCTTTTTTCTTTCTTTCTTTCTTTCTTTTTTTTGATACAGAGGTTCGCTCTGTTGCCAGGCTGGAGTGCAGTGGGGCCATCTCGGCTCACTGCAACCTCCACCTTCCAGGTTCAAGTGATTCCCCTGCCTCAGCCTCCGGAGCAGCTGGGACTACAGACGCGTGCCACCACACCCAGCTAATTTTTTGTATTTTAGAAGAGACAGGGTTTCACCATGTTGGCCAGGATGGTCTCAATCTCCTGACCTTATGATCTGCCCACCTTGGCCTCCCAAAGTGCTGCGATTACAGGCATGAGCCATAGCACCTGGCCGCCAATGGCTTTTTTCTTTGTAGATTCCTGTCATATTGAGAGACGAAATATTCAAAGTACAAATTAAATGTACTCATTTAAAGAAAGAAAATAAAATGATAGCCACCCCAAGGTTTTAAAAAACTTTTTAGAGTGATAAAGCACATTTTAAATTAATATGTGACAACAGATGCATTGCAACTACAGCCATAAATAATTTTTTGTTTTTGATTTTTTGGCTTAAACAGCAAAAATTTATTTCTCACAGTTCTGGAGGCTACATACAAGTCTAAGATCAAGGTTCTGGTAGGGCTGAGTTTCTCTTCCTGACTTGCTGATGGCCTCCCTCTTGCTAAGTGCTCTCATGACCTTTCCTTGTGCCTGTGTACATAGAGAGTGAGTAAGCTCTCTCGCGTCACTTCTTATAAGGACAGTAATCCTATAAGATCAGGGCCCACCCTTGTGACCTCATTTAAACTTAATTGCTTCCATAAACGCCCTATCTCCAAATACAGTTACACTGGGGGTTAGGGCTTCAGTGTATGAATTGGAAGAGGTGGCACATAAACATTTAGTCCATAACAAAAATGTTTCACATATTTTCAACAACTATTTTTTTCTAACTTTTTTCTTTTTCCCTTCCTCTCTTGGCTCTGAAACTCCAATTACACATATGTTAGATTGCTTGATGTGTCCCATGGGTCCTAAGACTCTAATAATTTTTTAAGTTTGTTTTTAAATCTTGGTCCTTCATTCTGAATTATGTCTATGGCTGTATCTTCTAGTTCACTGATTTTTTTTTTTTTCTTCTCAGGGTTAAATCTGCATTTAATTTCAGATACTATATTTTTCATATGTGGAGGTTCCATTTGATTCTTCTTGATACTGTCCATTTATCTCATTATATGTTATTTTTAAAATATTTGAGCACATTTATAACATTTATAAGAAGTGTTTTAAAATTCCTAGTCTGCTTATACTACTGATACTTCAGCTTCTCTGTTTCTACTGGTTATGGTCTCATTTTCCTGCTTCTTCTCATGTCCACTCATTTTAATTGGATGCTGAATATGTGATACTATATTGTTAAGTGACAGATTTTGTTGTAATCCTTTAAAGAGTTCTGGAATCAGTAAGAATGGCAGACTATATATTGATTCCCATTTTTTTGTGTGTGCAGCTGTCTGGAAATTGCCAGGTAGAAAGCTGCGGTGATTTTAGCGTTCAATTTGTTTTGGTTTATCTGAGATCACAGTTCTATATTGCCTGTTGCCCAATGTCTGAAAACAGGTGTTTCACAAATTTTACTCACTGTTCTAGTTTATAATGGGAGAACATCTAAAGTAGCAGTTACCTTTCCATGTAGGGAAGTAAAAGTCCATTAAATGACCTTTTTTCTTTCTTTTCAAAATTTACGTGATTTAGGATCCAACACAACTAATCTCTAATTTATTATGCTGAGTGACTGAGTGATAAGAAACTGGTTTTCTCCAGTTTCAAAAAACATCACCTGCTGGGTGTGGTAGTGCTCTTGTAGGCCCAGCTACTCAGAAGGCCATGGCAGCAGGGTCACTGGAGGCCAGGAGTTCAAGGCTGTAGCGTGCAATGACTGTGCCTGTGAATAGTCACTGCACTTCAGCCTGGGAAACACAGTGAGACTCCATTTCAAAAAACAAAACAACAACAACAAAAAAAACTGAAAAGTATAATTCTTTAGAAAAGAGTGAACACTCTGATGTTGTAGAGTGTGACATGTTGGAAAAGACCCATGCAGGCAAGCTTAGGGCTAGACAAATGAGAGATAAGGAGAATGAGGTGGCAAGACGGCATAGACAAGATAAAAAATTGTGTCAACACTGAAAAATTGGTGACTCTGTGAAGTTTTGTTATATAAATAGTAGAAGACAGATGTTGATTTTACCTACCTTATGCTGGAATAATTACTTATACTATTTTAAATATTTTTAAAGTGTGTAACTAAAGGTTAGACTATGTGAGCGATGGCTTAATAGCAACAACAGGGATTTATATCTGTTTACATAAAACTCTGCAATGACAATTTTCCTTTTAGAATATCTTTTCTATGCAAAATGCCATAGATCATTCAAACATCCATGGAAAACTGGCAATGCTCCTGGTTCCCCTCTTAGTGTGAATGGTAGGAAATATAATCTTGTTTTGTTCGATTGAATTTTTATCTAAACATCAGCAACACTAAGAGATCTCAAGATTCAGTAATCAGCACAAGGAAACCCCAACCAGCCTAAGTCATGATGCATATCAAGGGTGTCTTTCTGGTTGTCCAAGTCTAAAACTGGTTGCAATTGCAGGTTAGGTTGGTCAGTAAAAGAAGATCTATTTCATTGTCTAGTATCTTAAAGGATAAGTACGGAAAGAGAGATCAGAGGGAGGTATAATTAAAGGTATAAATATAGGTCCCCTCTGTCACACTGTAAAATGAGACCCTCTCCATAATTACAGGACTCTCTGAGAGAAAGGAGATGATAATGCTTAAGAAAAACTTCACACTGATGTTTTTGGAAGCTCAGTGAACAGAAAACCATGATTGGTTAAGTACAGACATCCTTTCCTTCCCAGTAAACTGAGTCCAAACAAAGTTAAAACAGGACTTCTTCTACACCCCCACCTCCCAGTAATGATTACCATCAGAAGGCACCTCTTTATCCAATTTAGACATCAGGGTTTCAAAGGGCTTCCATAAGTGAGTTTTACATTTGCTTTCTTTTATTCCAAAAACTGAGACTTTCATATTTGTAAGAAATCACCAATAACTACTAGAATAAGTAAGATTGGCAAAGTCAGAGGACACAAAGTCAAAATACAAGTATCAATTGTATTTCTCTATTTTAAAAATCAACAATTATAAAGTAAAATGAAAAAATAACATATAGAATAGCATCAAAATATATAAAACAGTGATAAATTTAAGAAAAGATTTGTTAGAACTGCATGCTAAAAACTATAAAGCATTTATAAGAAAAAATGTAAAAGTCCTAAATAAATAGAATAATACAGGATGTGGATCAGAAGACTCAATATTAAACTGTGAATTCATCACATATTGATCTGTAGATTCAATGCAATCCTCATCAAAATCCCAGGAGTCAATTATTGGAGGAACAAAATTCTGAAACACATATGGAAATGCAAAAGACCTATGGTAACTAAAATTACTTTGATAAAGAAGAACAAAATAGGAGGACTTTGACTACTGTGACGAAAACCCTGTTGTACTGATGTAAACATAGACATTCAGAAAAATGGAACCAAACAGAGTCCAGAAATAGTCTTACTTATAGATAACCAAATGATTTTCAACAAAAGTTTCCAAGAAGTCAATAGGCAGAGAATAATGTTTTGGAGCCATATGTTCTAAAAGAAATGAATGTTGAGATAACTCATAACATACACGAAAATTAACTCAAACCTAGTAAAACTTCTAAAATAAAATGTAAGAGGAAATGCTTCTGACTTTGGATTAGGCAATAATTTTTAGGTCAAAAAAAAGTACAAATTATTTAAAACTTTGATAAACTGAATTTGATCAGGATTTAAAACTTTTGTCCTTTGGAAGGCACTGTTAAGAAAACAAAAAGCCAAGCCACATTCTAGGGGAAAATATCTTCAAAACATGCAACTAAGGAAGTACTCTGAACCCAGAATATGCAAAGATTCCTTGGGACTCATTAAGAGAACAAGAAATACAATAAAAACAGAGGACAATCCTTTAGACAAACACAAAACCAAAAAAGTTATACAGATGGCATCTAAGCCTGTGAAAATGTGGTCAACATCTGCTATGGTCTGAATGGTTTTATCTCCCCAAATTCATATGTTGAAACCTACTCACCAAATGTGATGGGGTTAGGAAGTGGATTCTCTCAGAGGTGATGAGGTCAGGGGGAGAAAATCCTCATGAATGAGATTAGTGCACTTACAAAAGAGGCTCAGATAGCTTCCCTATCCTTTTCTAACACGTGAGGACACAGTCAGAAGGCACAGTCTATGAACCAGGAAGCAGGCCCTCACCAAATACTAAATCTTCCAGTACCTTGATGTTGGACTTGCCATTTCTCCAGAACTGTGAGAAATAAATTTCTGTTGTGCATAAGTTGCCCAGTCTGTGGTATTTTGTTGTAGCAGCCCAAATGAACTAAGAAAGCATCATTAGTCTAGTGGAAGCTAAAACCCCAATAAAAAAAACTAGTACACACCCACTGGAATGACTAAAATTAAAATAACTGACAATATCATGGATTGGCAAAAATGTGGAGCAACTGGAACTATCACACATTGTTGATGGAAATGCAAAATGGTATATCCATTTTGGATTATAGCACTGCAGTTTCTGTAAAGTTAAACAACATTTACCAAATAATTGAGCAATTCCACCCTTACATATTTGCACAAGAGAAGGAACACATATGTCCACAAAAGAGATATATGTATGTAAATAACTGTAACTTTATTCATAATAATCCAACTTGTTTCTCAACTGCAGAATGGATAAAAAATTGTGGTATATATCTACACAATGGAATACAATTCAACAATTTAAAAGGAAATGGACTACCGATATATGCAACAACATGGAAGAATCTTAATTATGCTGATGATCAAATAATGCATACTATATGATTCTAGTTGTTGCCAGGACCCAGGGAGTGAAGGTAGCAGATAAACTGCAAAAGTACATAAAGAAAATTTGGGGATGATGGAAATGTTCTATATCTTAATTGTAATGATGGTTATATGAATGTAAACATTTGTCAAACATCATAGAATTTTATGTTTAAAATTGGTGACTTTTACTGCATATAAATTATATCTCAATAAAGCTGAGCAAAAACAAAAACCAAGGAAATATACGATATTTATTCCCTCCCAAAATGAGCAGTGTGATTCACAAGTAAACGGAACAGGCCGGGCGCAGTGGCTCATGCCTGTAATCCCAGCACTTTGGGAAGCCAAGGCGGGCCGATCATTTGAGGTCAGGAGTTCGAGACCAGCCTGACCAACATGGTGAAACCCCGTCTTTACTAAAAATACAAAAAAATTAGCCAGGAGTGGTGGTACATTCCTGTAGTCCCAGCTACTAGGGAGGCTGAGGCAGGAGAATTGCTTGAACCCAGAAGGCAGAGGCAGCAGTGAGCCGAGATCACGTGACTGCACTCCAGCCTGGGTGACAGAGCAAGACTCCGTCTGGAAAAAAACAAAACAAAAGAAAACGAAACACTACAACTAAATGGAGTAAATGGATCCTAATATCCCATTAGGTTAAGTTCTGTTTAGCTACAAATGAATGAAGACCTCTTTGTGGTTACTGTCTTACTACATACTTCATTAGAAATAAGTAGAGAGACAAGCAGACTAGTTTATTTAACTCTGGTCAGTGTAGGGAGGGCAGTGGCTAAATAATATTTAGCATACAGTAAGTCCTTCTAGTAAATGCTTGTGAATAAAAATTTAAATAGAAATGAACTCTTAACACTTTTTAAAGGCCTAGGTACATTATATGCTCTTACCTAAAGTATTTAGACAAACACACGCGTAAGATATTAGCTGGTTTGCATATTTCATTGTATAGATCTACCAGTCCATTATTTCATGATATAAAGAAATTAAGAAAAAGTTTTGTGGAACATATTTGAATGACCAACTTTTAATTCACGATGTAGATATTTCACCTGTTTATTCATTAAATCTTCATTTTTAACAATAAAAAATTTGCAAAGCCTCTGTATTTTTATATCTTTTAGTTATACACTAATTCTAAAAGCATGAACTAAATTTTTCAACATTAACTGCTTTACACACTCTACGTAGGAAAAATTCAGACAGAGTTCTTCTGATGTCTGAATAATAAGATATTGACTTATTTTTCTGGAGAATTTTATTCTAAATATTAATTACTAAAATGTGTAAAAATTTTGTTTACTGAATATATGTCTAGGAGATTCCAGATTAAACATCTAGACAAAATAACAATTAGCCAGGAATTTTAAAATAGCAATAAAAATGTTTTGTAAACCAATACAGCAAAGCTTCTTGACATCAAATGATAAAATAACTTAAAACTTTGAAATTAATTTTCAAAATAAGTAGTAAACTTACAGTTTGTTGCCATATGAAATTGAGAAGAAAGTGCCTGAGTAACTGAATTCCAAAATGTGTAGAAAATTTCCGGTTGTCCATCCTGTGAAGAACAAACAAAAATTTTTTAAAAATAAAAAAATGCGTTTATTTTAAGAAATCATAATGGGTAACATGTAACCTTGAAAAGTTATTTAAAATTTAAATAAAAATTTTAGACATCTAACCATCAAACAATAGAATTATTAATTAAATGGAAATACAAAGATGATTCAAATTATGTCTTATGTTCAAGTAGTCAGTCATTCTTCTTCTCTGCCACATAATAGCTGGTGTAACCTTGGGCATGTTGCTTAGCCATTCAGGGCCTTTGTTCTTCATATGAAAAATGGTGATAACATTGCAGGATAATTATGAGGATTAAACAAATTAATAAAAGTCTTGGGACAATGCCTGAAATACAATAAACTCAATGAATGTTAGCTATTATTATTACATAAATTATTACTCTCATCATCATTTTTTAAATACGGAGGGCAATTTGTGTGACTATAACAAAATGATAGACAAAAGCCTGCTTACAACATGCTTGTTAGGATAACTAACAAGAAATAATTCACTATTACAAAAGAGAATGGCTGAAGCCTAGATATAGTTTTAAAAAAACTCAAAGGAATTGCTACTACTCAGTTTAGCATGATACTTTCAACTTTGAATATATGTTTTAAAAAGTAAGCACTATAAAGAAAAGACAAATATTAATTAAAGTATCATTTGTTAAAGAAAGACAAAGAACTTTAACACTGTTAAAATAGAATCACACTCTTAGAAATTTTGCCAAATACTTTAAGATACATCCACATGTGTGGTATACAATATAATACTGCCAATATTCTACTATTTTTGCAGCCAGAAATGCCAACTTCATATGGTTCAAAGTAATATTTTAAGACTGGGCACAGTGGCTCACAACTGTAATCCCAGCACTTTGGGAGGCCAAGGCGGATGGATTACCAGAGGTCAGGAGTTTGAGACCAGCCTTGCCAACATGGTGAAACCCTGTCTCTACTAAAAATACAAAAATTAGCCAGGTGTGGTGGCGCATGCCTGTAATCCCAGCTACTAGGGAGACTGAGGCAGGAGAATCACTTAAACCCAGGAGGCCGAGGTTGCAGTGAGCCAAGATTGCGCCACTGCACTTCAGCCTGGGCAACAGACCAAAACTCAGTCTCAAGAAGCAAACAAACAAACAAAAAAGTAAGAGTAAAAATAAAATAAAATATCTCTAATGTTAAAATATTGCTACAGTCCCAAAAATAAAATTATAATTTTGGACAAGTGAACAAAATGACCAATGAAAAATACTGATTTGTGACTTTTATACCTGTGTACACTTCCATTTTCATTAATTGTTCCTTTTTAAAATAAGTCTTATGGTTGTAAATTTACTCAAGAACTGTTAATCATAAACAAGGCAAATCAAATCATTGTTGATTTCTTATGCAACGATCAGAAAATACATTCAGATTCCTAAGATTTTATGTATTATGTCTTGCATATCTTAGTTTAAAGTAGATGCTTTTCATCATGTTAAGGAAGTATAATATACCACATTAACAGAATGAAGGACTAAAACCACATGGTCGTCTCAATTAATGCAGAAAAAGCATTAAACAAAATTTAACACCATCTGATGATAAAAACACTCAACAAACTAGGACTCGAAGGAAATTACATCAACATAATAAGGGCCACATAAGAAAAATCTGCAGCTAACATCCTACTCCATGGTGCGAAACAGAAAGCTTTCCCTCTAAGATCAGGAACAAGGCCAGGATGCCCACTCTTACCACTTCTATACAATATAGTACTAGGAGTCCTGCCAGAAGGACCAAGCAAGAAAAAGAAATAAAAAGCATCCAAATTGGAATGGAAGAAGTAAAATTATATCTGTTTCTAGATGATATGATCTTGTATGTAGATAATCCTAGACTCCTCAAAAAGGCCTGTTAAAATAATAACTGAATTCAGCCAAGTTGTAGCCTACAAAATCAACACATAAAAATTAGTGTGTTTCTACAAACTAACAATGAAATAGCCAGAAAAAAATGAAGAAAACTACCCTACTTTTATAACAGTATCCAAAAGAATACTTAAGAATAAACTTATTCAAGAAGGTAAAAAACTTGTATACTGAAAACTACACGATATGGTTGAAAGAAATTAAAGAAGACACAAGTAAATGGAAAGCATACTGTGTTATGGGTTGGAAGACCTAATAATGTTAAAATGTCCATACTCCCCAAATGATCTGCAGATTCTCAAAATCTCAATGGCATTTTTGCAGAAATAAAAAAATACTAAAATTAATAGAGAATCTCCAGGGATCCCAAATATCCAAATATCTTTCTTGAGGGAAAAAACAAACAAACAAAGCTAGAGGCCTCAGACTTCCTGACTTCAAGACATATTACAGAGCCAGGTGCAGTGGAACACACCTGTAGTCTCAGCTACTTGGAGGATGAGGTGGGAGAATTGCTTGAGCCTAGGTGTTTGCAGCCAGCCTGGGCAACAAAGGGAGATCCTATCTCTAAAAACCCAAATAAAACCCATCCAAATGGAAAAAACCATATTACCAAGCTTCAGGAATCAAAACAGTATGGTACCAGCATAAAGACAGACATAGGGACCAATGGAGTAGAGAGACAAAAAAATAAACGATCAAGTATACAGTCATACAATCTTGAACAAGGGTGCCAAGGCTACACAATAGGAAAAGGACAGTCTCTTCAATAAATGCTGCTGGGAAAACTGGATATACGCATGCAAAAGAATAAAGTTGAAACTTTACCTCATACCATGTATAAAAACTAACTCAAAATGGATTAAGGACCTAAACCTAAGACCTGAAATTATAACTCCTAGAAAAAAAACATAGGAGAAAAGCTCTGTGACACTGGATTTGGCAATAATTCTTGTATAGGACACCATGAACACAGGCAACAAAAGCAGAAATAGACAAACTGGACTATACCTAACTTGAGATTTTCTGTGCAGGAAAGGAAACAATCAATAGAGTAAAAAGGCAACCTACAGAATGGGGGAAAACATTTGCTAACCATATATCTAATAAGGAGTTAATATTCAGAATATATAAATGGCTCTGACAATTCAACAATTAAAAAAACAAATACCATGATTAAAAAACAGGCAAAGGACTTGAGTAGACACTTCTCCAAAGCAAATAAATAAATGGCTGGCCAACAAGCACATGAAAAGATGCTCAATATCACTAATTATCATGGAAATGCAAATCAAAACCATACTGAGATGTCATCTCACATCCATTAGGATGGCTACTATAAAAAACTGGTAAATAACAAGTCTCAGCGAGGATGTGGAGAAACTGGAAATTTTGTGCACTGTTGGTAGAAATGTAAAATAGTGTAGCCACTATGGAAAACATTAGGGAGGTTGCTCAAAATTACCATATGATCCAGCAATTCCACTTCTGGGTATATAAGTAAAAGAGCTGAAAGCAGGATCTTGAAGATTTATTTGAATACTCATGTTTACTGCAGCATTATTCATAAAAGCCAAGAGATGATAACAACCCAAATGTCTATCAAAGAATGAATGGATAAAGAAAATGTAGTATATTCATTCAGTCATGCATTTCTGAATGATAGGAATGTGCCTGAGAAATGCCTCAGGCAATTCTGTCATTGTGCAAAAATCACAGAATGTACTTACACAAACCTAGAAGGGATAGCCTACTACACAAGCAGGCTTTATGTGATAGCCTATCACTCCTGGGCTACAAACTTGTACATGTCATTGTAATGAATACTGTAGGTAATTGTAACACAATAGTACATTTGTGTATCTAAACATCAAAAAGACACAGCAAATATACAGTACTACAGTCTTATGAGGCCACAGTTGTATGTGCAGCCTGTCATTGACTGAAATGTCATTATGTGGTGTATGACTGTACTTACAATAGAACACTCTTCAGTCTTAAAAAAGAAAGAAATCCTATCATATGCTACAATATGAATGAACCTTGAAGATGTTACACTAAGTGAAACAAGCCAGTCACAAAAAGATAAATGCTGCAAGATTCTACTTATATGAAGTAGCTAAAATAGTCAAACTCTTAGAAGCAGAAAGAATAATGGTAATTGCCAAGAGATGGGGGACAGGGAAAATGAATTAGTTACTTCCCTTATTTAAAAAAGTTATTCTAATACACATTTTAGTACAATTATCATAGCCTGAGATTCTTTCCCCCATAAAACTCTTAAGAAATTTCACTAGTTAAAACAATAGTAGAAATATTTTTAAGGAAACTTTTTGGAAACAGAAAACAATTTATTTTATTTTTATTATTTTATTATGTTTTTATTATTATTATTTTAAGACGGAGTCTCGCTCTGTCGCCCAGGCTGGAGTGCAGTGGTGTGATCTTGGCTCATTGCAACCTCCGCCTCCCGGGCTCAAGCGATTCTCCTGCCTCAGCTTCCTGAGTACCTGGGACTACAGGCACACGCCACCACTGAAACGCCAGCTTTTTCTAGGTCTGAGCCTGCAGGCCTTTGGACTGGGACTACATCATTGGCTTTCCAGCTTGCCAACTACAGATCTACAGATCTACAGACTTGTGTCCATAATCCCATTGGCCAATTCCTTATTTTCTACATACAAATATATAACATTTCCTGTTGCTTTTGTTTCTCTGAAGAACCCTGATATCCTAATACAATTGTTGAATAAATCAATCAATCCATCCCAAGGACTGGTCTAAATTAACAGCTAGAGGCAGCTACTAAAGAGATGTACTAAGAAGGACACATAGCTGTTGGAACAAGAAAGGATGTGAAAAGTCCTTGGGAGACATAAAGAGATATAAAGTAGATTCAGAGGGAATGGGAAAGTATAGAAGATAATAATAAAAAGGTGGATTTGGGGTAAGATAGTATGTTAAAGCAATGATTTTCTATATCTATATACCCATCTATTTATACAGATATGTATATGCTGTGTATGTATGATGTATCCCTATATATACACATATATAATAGTATATGTACATATACTATACTATATAATAGTAAATCTATATCTCCTACCAAAATATAAAAAGATAGAATGTTAATTTTAATTATCAAACGGTAGTCAGAAATGTTATTGCCATGTGCAGTGGCTCATACCTGTAATTCCAACACTTTGGGAGGCCAAGGTGGGAGGATCGCTTGAGGCCAGGAGTTCAAGACCATCCTTGGCAACAGCGAGACCCCCCCCGTTTCTACACAAAAATTTAAAAAATTAGCTGAGTGTGGGAGCATGTGCCTGTGGTCTCAGCTACTTTGGAGGCTGAGGCAGGAGACTGCTTTAGCTCAGGAGTTCAAGGCTGCAGTGAGCCAGGATCACATCACTGCAATCCAGCCTGGATGACAGAATAAGACCCTGTCTTTAAGAAAACAAAAACAAAATTTTATTGTCAAAACTACATCACATAAATATAATTTCCTGCATAAAGAAAATATGAAGCTATATAAAAATCACTGTGCTTGTTTCAAGTCAAGTCAGCCTGTTACATATTTGCTTCTAAACATTTTGAAACAAAATTAATTGAACTACATTTTGAATAATTCAGGTAGATTTGAACTGGAAGGATATTTGACAATGATCTATTTATAACTGACTCCCAGTATGTCTTACATTAAGTTAAATGGAATCACGTTATCAGATCAATTCAGGGAAACATTTGTAATTTAAAGTATCTTTCTGACCTTGTTTCTTGGTTATAAATACAAACAGTATAATTCTAACTTTAAGAAACAATGAAATTTGGACTTTTGGCTGAGGCCACATAAGCTGATAATAAAACTAAACAGACACATATTATTACATATAAATAGAACAAAAGTAAAATATACAAAAATGTCAGAACTTTTTAAAGATAAATCTATTATTTAGAATTATGGCTTGGCCTTTGCTTTAGCCATTGATTTCAACATAATTAAATGTATACAGAGAAACTTAGAATAATTAATACTTAAACAAAACAGCTTTCAAAGCATATATTCTTTAGTTTTTCTCTTTATAACACCAAATTGACCATGGATTTCCTGGCTCAAATATATTTGACAGCTTCTTACTGCACATTGAATAAGGTCCAAATTTTCATGCTAACTTTATTGTGCTGAGTATAGTGAAAAGAGTATGGGTTTTGAAGTCAAATAACCTTGACTTAAATCCAAGGTCTACCACTTGTGCTGTGACTCTAGAAAGGTGACTTCATCTTTCTGAGCTTTTGATTTCCTCATGTAAATAGTAGAAATAATATTTTCATGGGATTTATTTTGTTATGAAGAATCAGGATCTCTTGAGCTAGATCCCTTTTTTTTTTTTTTTTTGAGACAGAGTCTCACCCTGTTGCCCAGGCTGGAGTGCAGTGGTGCGATCTCAGCTCACTGTAACCTCCGCCTTCCGGGTTCAAGCGATTCTCCTGTCTAGGCCTCCTGAGTAGTTGGGACTACAGGTGCGTGCCACCACACCCAGCTAATGGTACACAGAGATGTGAAAAAGTGTTTTCTATCCTCTGAATAAAAAGTGAGCATTCAGCAAAGAGGGAGGACATAAGAATGGAAAGTAAGACAAGGATCAGATCAAGGTATGTCTACATTCATCATAGATATAATAGTGAACCGCTTGAGAGTTTTAATAAGATAATACCATGATCAAGCTGTGCTATAAGAAAATCATTCTGGGCTGGGCACGGTGGCTCACGCCTGTAATCCCAGCACTTTGGGAGGCCGAGATCACGAGGTCAGGAGATCGGGACCATCCTGGCTACCATTATGAAACACCATCTCTACTAAAAATACAAAAAAATTAGCCAGGCGTGGTGGCGGGTGCCTATAGTCCCAGCTACTCAGGAGGCTGAGGCAGGAGAATGGCGTGAACCCGGGAGGCGGAGCTTGCAGTGAGCCGAGATCACAGCACTGCACTCCAGACTGGGCGACAGAGCAAGACTCCATCTCAAAAAAAAAGAAAAAGAAAATCACTCTGATAATAATGTGGAAGATGAATAGTGTGCGGGGTGTTATCAAGTCTACAGGCAAAAAGATCAGTTAGGAATTTACTGAAAAAATCTAGGCAAAAGGTACCTTTCTATGGCCAGAGTAGTAGAGTAAGAGTGGGCAGCAGGAAAACTGATACAACTTGATGGGCCAGAAGATGTATTTATTAATAACTAGGACTAAATATATTTATGAAGAACTAGGAGGATGAAGATTATGCAACCAAAATAGAATTTAAGAAGAAGCAGCAGGTGGGCAAAGAAAGATGTGCTCTTTTAAACTTATGCTTCTGGAACCTGTGGGGCATCCAAGTGGAGATGACCCTGCTTGCCTCTTTTTTTTTTTTTTTTTTTTGAGATGGAGTCCCACTCTGTTACCCAGGCTGGAGTACAGTGGCACGATCTCGGCTCACTGCAGCCTCTGCCTCCAGGGTCCAAATGATAAATGATTCCCGTGCCTCAGCCTCCTGAGTAGCTGGGATTACAGGCACCTGCTACCACGCCCAGATAATTTTTGTATTTTTAGTAGAGATGCGGTTTCGCCATGTTGGCCAGGATGGTCTCGAACTCCTGACCTCATGTGATCGCCCGCCTTGGCCTCTGAAAGTACTGGGATTACAGGCATGAGCCACCACACCTGGCCACTGACTGCTTTTCAGCAAGATCTATGCTAAAAAAATAGATTTAAGTGTTATCAGCATTTAGAGGTGGTAGAAACTATTAGCCTGTGCGAGCTTTTCCATATATTGCATGTGGCATGGGAAGAAAACAATGTTGAGGGTGGGCCACAGGGAATAAATCAATTAAAAGTTGGTGGAAGAAATGATTCAGAGTGGAGAGAGAGGAGTGGGTGGAGATGATTATAAAATAAAGATTGAGCATAAGTTAATAATCACTGAAACTGGATGGCAGGTACATAGGTATTCACTGTCCTATACTTGGGTTCTATAGTTTGGTATATGTTTGAAATTTTATAAATATTTTAAAAGGAAGGGGATGAAGAGGAGGAGGAATCAATAAAGGAATTCTGAAGAGTGGGAATACCTGAGGGAGGAGAGATTTAAGAAGAAGTGGTCAATCACCTCAGAGGAGTGAAGTAAACATGGTCTGAGAAGTGGGCAGAAGGATTTGGCATCTGGGTCACTAAGGTGCACTGACCAACAAGGTTTCAGTAGAGTGAAACCTTGACATCAAGGGTGTGGGGCAAAAGAGAAGCAGGGAAGTAGAGATACCAGGTAGCTTACTGAAACCTGAGTGTGAAGGAAAAAAGTGTTTAGAAGAAAATAAAGGACTCAGGTTTCTGTTGTTTTAAAAAAATATTTAGATGGTAAAACACTGAAAAGAAGGAAGGAGGAAAGAAGTTGATACCGGAGAAAACCAAGACGGGATGATGTGGAATCAAAAAACAAAAGTGAAAACTAAGCCTGAAAAAGAAGCAGACACCTTTGAGGCAAAAGGGGGAGGTAAGGATAAGCAATACAATTTTTTTGGTCCTTGATAAATTGTTTCTAAGTCAGTGTGCTTACTAAGAGGAAGTCAGAGAGAAGCAGAGGGAGCTAAATTAAGATCAAAGGAAGTACAGTGCAAAAAACTTAGCAAAAGGTCTATGCCAGAGATCTCTGCGGATAAATCATGTTGTGAATAAGGAAGCCTGCCGATTTGATCAAAGAAATCAAGAATATATTAATTTTAAATTAGTTCTTAATCATTTTCTGGATTCAAAGCAGAGGGATCCTGGCAAAGCAAATAAAATAAGGCAAATAAAAATTTCTCTTTGTTGAAAAATAGCCTTCGAGGGGAAACATTTTGCTGTCTCATTACAAAGAAGAAAGCTATGGAAATTAAATAGGAACTTCAAGATGAACACCACAGAGCAAAGTAAGAAACCCTATACATGTACAACCCTATACACACACTACAGAGCAAAATAAGAAACCCAAAGAATTTCCAATAAAATCAAAATATTAGCTTTTACATGTACACTGTTCAGAGAGAAAAAAATATTTATAATGCAATCAACTTTTTGTTTTATAAAATAAGAGCTTAGATTAATGAGGCAGTCAAAGATAGTGAAAAGTAGTCAGATTTTAAATACATTTTGAAGGTAGAACAGATAGCATTTATTAAAATAAATACAGATAAACACAAAGACTTTTTACAAAATAGTAACAGGTGTTGTCTCTGGATGAAAGGATTAAATATGATGTTTCTATTATTCTTTTAAATTTTTTGGAGGAGCAATAGAGATAATCTAAATGTTAATGCTAACTAGAACAGTAAATTCTGGATGTAAAAATTTCAATACTAACATACATAGAGTAAAAAGTAAAAGTTCCTCTTTAAACCCAAATGCCTAATGCCTAATCTCATACTTACCTAGAGATCACTGTCAAATAATGGTGTTAAAGGTTGATTAATAAGGTTTAGTTTCTCCCTAATAAGAGAAACTAAGAAAGAAAAATGAGAACTATTTTCTCTCTCTTGGGGTCAATATTGCCCCCAGTTAAGAATGCATGGTTTACTAGTATTTTGAAAATTCCTGCAATCCCAGCACTAGGTATATATCCAAAGGAAAGGAAATCAGTATGTCAAAGAGGTATCTTCATTCTCATGTTTACTGCAGCACTGGTCAAGCTACGGAATCAACCTAAGTATCTACAGAGAAACGGATTAAGAAAATGTGGTATATCCACACTATAGAATACTATTCAGCCATAAAAAGAATGAAATCCTGTCATTCAAGGTAACATGAATGAGGCTGGAGGACATTATGTTAAGTAAGATAAGCCAGGAACAAAAAGATAAATGCTGCATGTTTCCACTCATAAGCAGAAGCTAAAGAAGTTGATCTTACAGAAGTGTTCCAAGCTTGAAGATTATAAAAAAAACTTCCAAAATTTGAGAAAGCTATGAATATCCAGTTACAGGAAGGTTGAAAAAAATCAAACAGATTACAACCAAATAAAACTACCCCAAGGCATATAATAATTAAAATCTCAAAGGCCAAGGAGAAAGAGAAGATCCTAAAAGCAGCAAAAGAAACCAGTACTATATAAAGGAGCGCTACAATTGGTCTGGCAACAGACTTCTCAATGGTAACCACACAGGCGAGGAGAGAGTGGGATAACATTTTCAAAGTGAAAAAAAAAATGCTATCCAAAATACTGTATTCAACAAAGCTATGCTTCAAAAAGGAAGAAGACAGAAGTTGAAAGGATTCACCACCATCAGACCTGTCTTACAAGAGATACTAAATGGAGTTCTTAAAATTCTGAAAGAAAAAAAAAAACAGTAATATGCAAATAAACAAAAACATCTGAAGGTATAAAACCCACCGTTAAAATTAAGTACGCAAACAAAACCAGAATACTCTAATACTGTAACTGTGCTGTGTGATCCACTCATAACTCTAGCATGACACATCTATGAAAAACAATAATAGCTATAGCAATCTGTTAGATATATCATATTGATATTTAAAGATTGACATGTTTTATATTTATAGGCAACACAAAAATATGTAAATTGATTCACAGGTGTTTTCTCAGTGAAAAAAAGTAAATTGACCAAACAAAAAGTCAGAATGTAGGAGAATGGAGTTAAAATGTAAAGTTTTTAAAGTTTTTTCTTTCTTTGTATCTTTTGTCATCTAAGTTGTCATCTCTTTAAAATAACTTATGTTCAAGACCAGCCTGGCCAAGATGGTGAAACCCTGCCTCTACTAAAAATACAAAAAATAGCTGGGTGCAGTGGTGTGCACCTGTAATCCCAGCTACTCAGGAGGCTGAGGCAGGAGAATCACTTGAACCCGGGAAGTGGAGGTTGCGGTGAGCTGACATCGCACCACTGCACTCCAGCCTGGGCTACAGAGCAAGACTTCATCTCAAAAAGTAATAAAATAAAACAAAACAACTTATGTTTTTTGTAAGCCTCATAATAATGATTCAAAAGTCCCTAAAACATTTACTAAAAATAAAAAGCAACAAATTAAAACATACTATCAGACAAAAATTACTTAAGCGCTAACAAAATACAGTAAGAAAGGGAAAAAGGAAGAGGAATTACAAAACCAGAAATAAACAACAAAATGGCAGTAGTGAGTTCTTACTTATTAGTAATAACAGCGAATGTAAATGGATTCAATTGTACAATTATAATAAAAGACACAGAGTAGCTGAATGGATCAAGAAACAAGACTCAACTATACACTGCCTGCAAGAAACCTACTTCACCTACAAAGACACACATGAACTGAATGTAAAGGGATGCAAAAAGATATTCTATGCAACTGGAAACCAAAAAGAGCAGGAAAAACTATACTTATATCAGATAAAAGAGACTACAAGCCAAAGACTATAAAAAGGACAAAGATCACTACATAATGAGAAAGGGGTCAATTTGGCAAAAAGATATATAACAATTATAAATATGTATGCACCCAATATTGAAACATCCAAGTATATAAAGAAAACGTTAACGTATCTAAAAGGAGAGATAGATAGCAACACAATAATAGTAGAGAACTTCAAAACCCCACTCTCAGTAATGGCCAGATCATCCAAAAGAAAGAAATAAAATATATCAAAAAGATATCTGTACTCCCTTGTTTAATGAAGCACTATTCACAATAGCCAAAGTATGAAATCAACCTAATTGTCCATCAAGGGATAAATAAAATGTGGCATATATACCCAGTAGAATATTATTCAGTTATAAAAAAGAGTGAAATCCTTTCATTTGCAGCAACATGGCTGAAACTGTATGAAAAGTGAAATACACCAAGCACAGAAACAGAAATATTGCATATTCTTACACTATGTGTGAGCTAGAAATGTGGATCTCATGAAGATAGTGAGTAGACTGGTGGTTACCAGATGCTGGAAAAAATCGAGGAGAGAGAGACACAAAGGGGCTGATTGATGACTACAAATATACAGTTAGATAGAAGAAATAAGACCCAGAGTTCGATAGATCAGCAGGGTGATGACAGTTAACAATAATCTATTGTACATTTCAAAATGGCTGGAAGAGAATAATTCAAATTCATAAATAAAATATATACTTAAGGTGATGGATATCCCAATTACCTTGATTTGATCTTTACACATTATATGAATGTAACAAATTAACACATATACCTGAAAATATGTATATCTATTACAAAATAAAAAATTTTTAAATCAATTTATGAGTTCACAACATTCCTCAATTAAAGTCACTGACAGGGTTTTTGAATTGTAATTTTAAACAAAATGATGTACAGCAGGTTCTCAAATAACCCAGGCTACCGCTACTACCACAGCAGTCACTCACTTGCATATGCCACCTGTGGGCCTGGGGAATGACCCAGCCAGCTCATTGCAGCCACAGCCAAGACCAGTGCAGACCGCCTGGGAGCCAGAAGGACAAATATCCAGAACATAGAAAGAACTCAGTCAATTCAACAGTAAGAAACAAATAATCCCATTAAAAAGTGGGCAAAGGACTGGAATAGACATTTCTCAAGAGAAGACATACAAATGGACAAGAGGTACATTAAAAAATTGTCAACATCACTAATCATCAGGGAAATGCAAATCAAAACCACAACGAGATATGACCTTACCCCAGTTAGAATGACTACTATTAAAAAAACAAAAAATAACACATACTGGTGAGGATGCAGGGAAAAAGGAACACTTACGCATTGTTGGTGGAAAGGTAAATTAGTGTAGCCACTATGGAAAATAGTACAGAGATTTCTCAAAAAACTAAAAAGAGAACTATCATATACTTCAGCAATCACATTACTGGGTATTTATCTAAAGAAAAGGATATAGTGTATCAAAGGGGTTTATATTTATTGTACCACTATTTGCAAAAGCGAAGATATGAAATCAACCTAAGCGTCCATTGAAGGATGAATGGATAAAGAAAACATGACACATATACACAATGGAATACTACTTGGCCACAAAAAGAGAATGAAATCTGGACATCTGCAGCAATGCTGATGGAACTGCAAGTCATTAAGTGAAACAGGCCAAGCACAGAAAGACAAAAGATTGCACATTTTTACTCATATATGGCATATATGGGAGCTTAAAATTTTGATCTCATGGAGGGAGAGAGAAGAAGGATAGATATCAAAGAGGCTGGGAAGGGGTGTGTGTTTTGGGTGGGGGAGAAAGTGGGGGTTGGTAAATGGCTAAAAACATACAGTTAGAAGAAATAAGTTCTAATGTTCAATAGCAGAGTAAGGTGGCTATAGTTAACAACAATGTATTTTTTATTACAAAATAGCTTGAAGACAGGACTTGAGATGTTCCCACATGGAAATAGGTACCTGAGGAGATGAATACCCTAAATACCCTAACTTGATCATTACATTCTATGCATGAAAGAAAATATCATAAGTACCCCATGAATATGTACAGAAATTATGTATCAATTTTTAAAAACAGGATCAAAACCAGTATCCTCAGAATTGAGAGGTATTCCACTTCAGCATTAAAGCTGCATAATGTTACCATAATGCACTGAACAATGGGCTGCCATCAACAAAAACCCACATTTTTGTCCACAACTACATTTTTCTTCAATAAAAGGAAATCAATTTTTGTGCTGAAGAAATCTCAATGGCATTTTTAGTAGAAATAAGAAAAAAAAATCCTAAAATTCACATGAAGTCTCAAGGACCTCAAATATCTTTTTTGAGAAGGAAAACAAAACTAGTGGTCTCATACATTCTGACTTCAAAATATATTACAAAGCTTCCATAATCAAAACAGTATGGTACCGGTATGAAACAAGACATATAGGCCAATGACATAGAATAGATAGCCCAGAAATAAACCCTCAAGTACATGGCCATATGATCTTTGACAAGTACACCAAGGCTACAAAATGGGGAAAGAATAGCCTCTTCAATAAATGCTACTGGGAAAACTAGATATACATACACATGCAAAGGAAAGAAGCTGAATTCTTACCTTATACCATACATAAAAATTAACTTAAAAGATTAGACTTAAACATAAGACCTAAAGCTATAGCTCCTAGACCAAAATAAGGAAAAGCTCCATGACACTGGATTTGGCAATTACTTATATATGATACCAAAAGCAAAAATAAACAAATTACACTACATCAAACTTGAAGATTTCTATGCAGTAGAGGAAACAACAGAGAGTAAAAGCAACCTACAGAATGGGATAAAATATTTGCTAGCCATATAATGGACAATAAGTTAATATCTAGAATATATAGTAACAGCCAAAAATAACGTGATTTAAAATAGACAAAAGACTTTAATAGATTTTTCTCCAAAGATGATATTAAAATGGCTAACAAGCATAAGAACAGATACTCAACAAGAGATCCTTAAGGGAGTTCTAACCATGGAAATGAAAGAATGATACCTGTTACTACAAAAACACACACACTTTACATGGCCAACACATCCTACAAATCATCCACACAATAGAAACTACAAAGCAACCAGCTAACAACTTCATAATAAGCTCAAAACCTCAGCTATCAATATAAACCTTGAATGTAAATACCCTAAATGCTCCAGGTAAAAGACACAGAATTGCAAATTGGGTAAAACAAACAAGATTCATCTATCTGCTATCTTCAAGAGACTGATCTCACATGCAGTAACACCTATCAGCTCAAAGTAAAGGGTTGGAGAAAGATCACACAAATGGAAAATAAAAAAGAGCAGAGGTCACTGTTCTTAGGTCAGATAAAACAGACTTTAATCCAACAACAGTAAAAAACGATAAAGAAAGGCATTATATGGTGATAAAGTGCTCAATTCAACAAAAAGACTTAACTATACTAAATATACATCCACCCAACATTGGGGCACATGGATTCATAAAACAAGTTCTCAGAGACCTGCAAAACATATATAGACAGCCACAAAATTATAGTGGGGGGCTTCAATACCCCACTGAGAGCATTCCATAGATCATGGAGGTAGAAAACTAACAAAGAAATTCTGGACTTAAGTTCAGCACTTAACTAACTGGACCTAATAGATATCTACAGGATACTCCACCCATCAACTACAGTATATATGTTCCCATCTGCACCCAGAACAAACTCCAAGATTCATCACATGCTATGCCATAAAGCAAGTCTCAATAAATTAAAAATAAATTGAAATACCCATCATAATCTTGGACCACAGTGGAATAAAACAGAAATTGATACCAAGAAGATCTCCCAACACTCACACAATTACATGGAAATTAAACAACATGTCTCTGAATGACTTTTGGGCAAGCAGTGAAATTGTCAGAAATAAAAAAATTCTTTGAAAAAAATGAAAAGAGATAACATACCGAAATCTCTGTGATGCAGCAAAAGCAGTGTTAAGAGGAAAGTTTTAAGTGCCAAATACCTACCTCAAAAAGTCAGAAAGATCTCTCATTAATCATTTAACATCACACATAGAGGAGCTAGAAAAACCGAGAACAAAGAAACTAACTAACCCTAAAGCTAGCAGAAGAAAAGAAATAACTAAAATCAGAGTGGAACTGAACAAAATTGAGGCCCAAAAATCCAGACAAAGAATTAATAAAACCAAAAATTGGTTCTTTGAAAGAGTAATAAACAAGGCTGATAGACCACTAGCTAGATTAACAAAGAAAAAAAAGAAGATCCAAATGAGCACAATCAGAAATGACAAAGGCAACATTACAACCGATCCCACAGAAATACAAAAGCTCCTCAGAGACTATTAGGAACATCTCTATGCGTACAAACTAGAAAATCTAGAGGAAATGAATAAATTCTTGGAAACACACAATCTCCCAAGATCAAATCAGGAAGAAACTGGAACCCTGAACAGACCAATATCAAGTTTTGTAACTGAATCAATAATAAAATCTACCAAGCAAAAAACAGCCCTGGGCCAAACTGATTCACAGCAGAATTCTACCAGACATAAAAAAGGGCTGGCACCAATACTACTGAAACTATTCTCCCCCAATCCCCCTAAAAAAAATTGAGGGACTCCTCCCTAACTCATAATATGATGCCAGCATCACCCTGATATCAAAATGTGGCAAAGGCAAAATGACAAAAGAAAACCACCAGACAACATTGCTGATAAACATAGATGTAAAAATTCCCAACAAAATACTAGCAAATGGAATCCAACAGCACATCAAAAAGTTAATTCACCATGATCGAGTTGGCTTCATTCCTGGGATGCAAGGTTGTTTCAACATATGTAAATCAATAAATGTGATTAAACATATAAACAGAATTAAAAACAAAAACCATATGATCATCTCAATAGATGCAGACAAAAGCTTTCAATGAAATCTAATATCCTTCATAAAAATCTTCAAGAAACTGGGTATCAAAGGAACATACCTCAAAACAATAAGAGCCATCTATGACAAACCTTCAGCCAACATCATACTGAATGGAAAAATTCTGGAAGCATTCCCCTTGAGAACAGGAACAAGACAAGGATGCCCACTCTCACAACTCCTATTCAATATAGTAGTTGAAGTGCTAGCCAGAACAATCAGGTAAGAGAAAGAAAAAATAGCATCCAATTTGGAAAACAGGATGTCAAAATTATGCCTTCTCTGACAATATAATCCTGTAACTAAAAAATCCTAAAGATTACACCATAAGGTCCAGGAACTGACAAGTGATTATAGCAAAGTTTCAGGAAACAAAACCAATGTATAAAAATCAGTAGCATTTCTATACGACAATAATGTCCAAGCTGAGAGCCAAATGAAGAATGTAATCCCATTTACAATAGCCACACACAAAAAATGAAATACCTAGGAATACATCTAACCATGAAAGTCAAAGATCTCCATAAGATATACAAAATGCTGCTGAAAGAAATCATAGATGACACAAACAAATGGAAAAACTTTCCATGCTCATGGACTGAAAGAATCAATATCATTTAAATGATCATACTGCCCAAAGTAATCTACAGACTCAACACTATTCCTATCAAACTACCAATTTCATTTTTCACAAAATTAGAAAAAAGTATTCTAAAATTCATATGGAACCAAAAAAAAAGAGCCTGAATAGTTAAAGCATCCTAAGCAAAAAGAACAAAGCTGAAGACATTACATTATTCAACATCAAACTATAGTACAAGGCTATGGTAAGCAAAACAGCATGGTACTGGTACAAAAACATACAGACCAATGGAACAGAATGGAGAACTCAGATATAAAGCCTCACACCTACAGCCATCTGACAAAAATAAAATACAAAAGTCTACAAAAATAAGCAATGGAGAAACGACTTCTTATTCAATAAATGGTCCTGGGATAACTGGTAAGCCATAGGCAGAAGAATAAAACTGGATCCCTACCTTTTATTATATGCAAAACTTAACTAAGGTGGATTGAAGATTTAAATGTAGGACCACAAACTATAAAAATTCTAAAAGAAAACCTAGGATATACCATTCTGGACATTCGCCTTGGGAAAAAATTTATGACAAAGTCTTCAAAAGCAATTGCAACAAAAACATTGACAAAGTGAGGCCTAATTAGGCTTAAGAGCTGCTTTGTAAAAGAAGCTATCAAAAGAGTAAACCAACAACCCACACTATAGAAGGAAATATTCACAAACTATGCATCCAACAAAGGTCTAATATCCAGAATCTGTAAGGAACTTAATTCAACAGTCAAAAAACAAATAATCTCATTAAAAAGTGGACAAAAGACATGAACAGGTACTTCTCAAAAGAAGACATACAAGGAGCCAACAAACATATGAAAAAATACTCAACATTCGATCATTAGAGAAATGCAAATCAAAACCACAATGAGATAACAGTCAGAATAGCTATTATAAAAGAGTCAAAACAAACAAACAAACCAAAAAAAAAAAAAAAAAACACACCACAGGCTGGGTGCGGTGGCTCACACCTATAATCCCAGCACTTTGGGAGGCTGAGGCAGGCGGATCACCTGAGGTCAGGAGTTTGAGACAAGCATGGCCAACCTGGTGAAACCCTGTCTCTACTAAAAGTACAAAAATTAGCTGGGCATGGTGGTGGGCACCTGTGATCTCAGCTACTTGGGAAGCTGAGGCAGGAGACTTGCTTGAACCTGGGAAGTACAGATTGCAGTAAGCCAAGATCACGCCACTGCATTCCAGCCTGGGCAACAGAGCGAGACTCTGTCTCAAAAACAAAAAACCAAACAAAAAAAAACCCAAAAAACCCACAGATGCTGACGAGGCTGCAGAGAAAAGGGAATGTTTATACGTTGCTTCTGGCAATGTAAATTAGTTCAGCCATTATGGAGAGCAATTTGAAGATTTCTCAAAGAACTTAAAACAGAACTACTATTCAACCCAGCAATCCCATTATTAGGTATATATTCAAAATAAAATAAATCATTCTACCAAAAAGGCACATGCACTTGTATGTTCATCATAGTGCTATTCGCAATAGCAAAGACAGAGAATCAACCTAGGTGTCCATCAATAGTAGATTAGATAACAAAAATGTGGCATGTAAACACCATGGAATACTACACAGCCAAACAAAGAATGAAACAATGTCTTTTTACAGCAACATGGATACAGCTGAAGGCCATTATCCTAAGCAAATTAATACAGGAACAGAAAACCAATTACCACATGTCCTCAGTTATAAGTGAGGGCTAAATATTAGGTACTCATGGACATGAAGATGGCAACAAGAGACACTCGGGTCTACTAGAGGAGGCAAGGAGGGAGGGGGCAAAGGTTGAAAAACTGTTGGGTTCTATGCTCACTACCTGGGGATGGGATCATTTATACCCCAAATCCCAGCATCATGCAATATGCCATGTAACAAACATGAATTTAAAATCTAAGTAAAAGTTAAAATTAAAGTAACAAAAATTAAAAAGAAATAATAAGGCCAGGCATAGTGGTTCATGCCTGCAATCCCAGTACTTTGGGATGCTAAGGCTGGCAGATTGCTTGAGCTCAGGTGTTTGAGACCAGCCTGGGCAACATGGCAAAACCCTATCTCTATAAAAAATACAAAAATTAGTCAGGTGTGGTGGCTCATGCCTGCAGTCCCAGCTACTTGGGAAGCCGAGGCTAGAGGATCAGTTAAGCCTGGGAGGCAGAGATTGCAGCGAGCTGACGTCGCACCACTGCACTCCCACGTAGAAGACAGAGGGAGACCCTGTCTCAAAACAAAAAACAAAAAAACCCAAAAACACATAATAAAACTTGAAAGTCAAAATTATTTCTTAATCATGGGCTGTAGAATGGATGTTATGTTAGCATGCATGAAAACAACATTAGTCTCCTTATACATCTCAATCAGAGTTCTTAGGTGAGTAGGTATATTACCAATGATGAGTAATAGTTTGAAAGGATTTTTTTTTTTTTTCTGAGCAGGTCTTAACAGTAGGCTTAAAATGTTCAGCATACCACACTATAAACAGATGTGCTATCCTCCATGCTTTACTGTTCAATTTATAGAGCACAAGCAGAATAGATTTAGCATCATTCTTAAAGGCCCTAGGATTTGTGGAATGGTAAATTAGCACTGGTTTCCACTTAATGTTACCAGGGGCATTAGACCTAAAAATAGAATCAGCCTATCCTTTGAAGCTTTGAAGCCAGGTATGGACTTCCGCTCTCTAACTATGAAAGTCCTAGTTGGCATCTTCTTCTAAGGCTACTTCATCTACATTGAAAATCTGTGATTTTAGTGTAGCTACCTTCATTGATGATTTTAGCTATATCTTCTCAATAACTTGCCATAGTTTCTACATTAGCACTTGCTGCTTCACGTTGTATTTTTATGTTACAGGAGTAGCTTTTTTCCCTTAAACCTCATGAACTAATCTCTGCTAGCTTCCAACAAGAAAATGTGCAGCTTCGTCACCTACCTCAGCCTTCACAGAATTTAAGAATTAGGATATTGCTCTTGATTAGGCTTTAGCTTAAAGGAAGGTTGTGGCTGGCTTGATCTTCTATTCAGACCACTCAAACTTTTGTCATATCAGCAATAAGATTGTTTTACTTTATTTATTTATTTATTTTAGACGGAGTTTCACTCCTGTTGTCCAGGCTGGAGTGCAATGGTGCAATCTGGGCTCACCACAACCTCCACCTCCCAGGTTCAAGAAATTCTCCTGTCTCAGCCTCCTGAGTAGCTGGGATTACAGGCATGCGCCACCACACCTGGTTAATTTTGTATTTTTCGTAGAGATGGGGTTTCTCCACGTTGGTCAGGCTGGTCTTGAACTCCCAACCTCAGGTGATTCACCCACCTCGGCCTCCCAAAGTGCCGGGATTACAGGCGTGACCCACCGCGCCTGGCCGACTGTTTTACTTTCTTATCGTTCATGTATTCACTGGAATAGCTCTTTTAATTTTTTCAAGAACTTTTCCTTTGCATTTACAACTTGGCTAATTAGTATAAGAAACCTAGTGTTCAGCATTTCTCAGCTTTCAACATGTCTTCTCCACAAAGCTTACTCATTTCTAGCTTTTGATTTAAAATGAGAGGCATGTGACAGTTCCTGTCACTTGAACACTTAGAGGTCACTGTAGGGTTATTAATTGGCCTAACTTCAATATTGTTGTGTCTCAGGAAACAGGGAAGCCTGAGGAGAGTGACAGGGTTGGGAGAATGGCCAGTTGGTGGAGCAGTCAGAACACACACACTTACTGATTCAGTCTGCCATCTTATATGGGGGCTTTCATGGTGCCCCAAAACAATACAATAGTAACATCAAAGATCACTGATCACCTTAACAGATAAAATAACAAAAAAATTTGAAATATTGCGACAATATTACCAAAAGTGACATGGAGACACAAATGAGCATATGTTGGAAAATGGCACCAATAGGCTTGCTTGATGCAGAATTGTCACTGACCTTAAATTTGTAAAAAATAAATAAATAAAAATAAAAATGCAGTGTCTGTGTAGCACAATAGAGGTGAAGCACAACAAAACAAGGTATGCCTATACTGTATTATTCAATTTATATAAGGTATCTAAAGTAGTCGGGCACTTAGAAAGTAGAGTAGTGTTCGCCAGGGGAAAGTAAGGGGTAGGGAAATGGGAGGTGGTGTTCAATGGATACAGAATTTCAGTTTTGTAAGATGAAAAAGATCTAGAGATCTGTTGCACAACCGAGAGCATCAGAGAACATATAGGTAATACTATTTTTGTACTGTACACTTAGACTTAAGTTGATAAGTTTTAAGTAATGTAATTCTTAAACTAATTCTTTTATCACAATTAAAAAATAAACACAAGAAATCACATGAATTAGGTTGGAGTGAAACTATTTATATGCCCACCTAAGAGTATGTCAAATTTATATTGGATTACTAAAAATAAACAAACAAACCATATTTCATTTCAGCATATTTTGCTATTTGAGCAAGCAGCCTAATCTGGTATTACTTTGCTTTGTATCAGAAAATCAGAATATACATTATATACAATTTTGTACAGCTTAAGTATAATACTCATGCATTAATTATATAACAGAACCAATAATATCTTTCACTTTTACTTAAAAAAAGTAGTTTTAGTATCGGCAAATTCCTTATGTAAACTAATTGATGCTGTATAGAATTTTGAGGAAGTGAAAAATTCATAACTGATTGCTAGAAAAGCCTATTACTCTGACAGAATCTTCCATTTTCTACAGTTTCTAAATACATTTTTATACATCAAGAACAAACATATTATGGAAACATTTCTTTAGGCCTTCCCATTATAAGTTTTCTTTCTTCAGATAATTTAATATTTTATCATTTAAAACTACTGAAGGATATTTTCTGTTAATATTTCCATGGAATATTAAAATAAGTCTTGTGAAGGGTTCCTTGAGGGAAACAACTGTGACTGGAAAGGAAACAAGGGGGGAAAGCAGCTTTTGGAAGGCAAGGATAGGTCACTTTGTTCAACTTTGTGTCCCACTGCCTAGGCAAAACTTGTTCAAGAAAATTTTGTAAAACATTCACTTCATTATTAGATATTACTTTTCTCTATGGGTCATACGGTGATTTTTTTTAAAGTCTAAGCATTCCCTAGGAAATAAAGAGAAAAACCAAACGAGAAAATAATTGGAGCCAACTTTAAAGACAATGAACTGTTCACACTTTCATCTAACTTCTACCCATATGTGTCTGCTCACTGCAGGTTTTCTAACACCACATAAACAGGAGGATATTTTTTTTCTTTTTTTTTATTATTATACTTTAAGTTCTAGGGTACATGTGCACAATCTGCAGGTTTGTTACATATGTATACATGTGCCATGTTGGTGTGCTGCACCCATTAACTTGTCATTTACATTAGGTATATCTCCTAATGCTATCCCTCCCCACTCCCCCTACCCCACAACATGCCCTGGTGTGTGATGCTCCCCATCAACAGGAGGATATTAACCCATTTGTGTGAAAAGGTAAAACCGTTTAAATATTCAGCAAGTTTCTAACTTTAAGATTGAGAAAGTGTTCACCATTTCAATTTTGATGAAAAATGATTGGTATATCATAATGTACTAGAATATTCTAGAAATTTTCACATATATTATATACCCAAGCAATGATTGCATCAAAGAGAGAGAGACAAACAGAAAGTTATTCTGATTATAAATAAGTTGATTCACTCAAACAACTAAAGAGTTTGGGGAGAACTTTCCTCCATCCCACCTGACATTCTTTCAAATGTTGTTAAAAAGAGGTATTACGTATGATCCTAATCAGGAAAAAACTGTTATACTTTGGGTTGTGTTCGTGTCCAGGACTTTATAACTCAAGTATGTGATATACAGGATTAAAAGTTTATAGGTAAATAATTACCACTGGGGAGGGGGATGAGAGAGAGAGAATGAATCCGTATAAAAGTTAGACACAAAGCAAGAAGATATCACCCTTAAATAGAATTATAGGCATTCATAGATTATTTTGATTTTACATGTAGCTTTCTATAGATTTTGATAGGTCTGCAATTTGTTCAAATGTGAAGATAAACAATAGAAATGAATTGCTCTCAAATATATGAACTCTGTAACAGTAATACATTATATAGTTTTGAATAGCTAGAAGGAGGATAGTGAATGTTCCCAACACAAAGAAATGATAAATGTTTGAGATGGATATGTGAATTACCCTGATTTGATCACTACACATTATATGTATCACATCACTATGTACTCTATAAATAGTACAATTGTTATGTGTTCATTAAAAACATTTTAAAACTTAAAAAAATTTTAACATGTATTTGAATTCTATTATTTCTTATTCTTCTTTTACTATGCTGGGTCAGTCCTCCAGTACAATGCAGAAAATAAGCAAGGATAAAGGGCATCGAAGGCCAGGCGCAGTGGCTCATGCCTGCAATCCCAGGACTTTGGGAGGCTGAGGCAGGTGGATCACGAGGTCAGGAGATCGAGACCATCCTGGCCAACATGGTGAAACCCCTGTCTCTACTAAAATACAAAAAAATAGCTAGGGGTGGTGGCACACACCTGTAGTCCCAGCTACTCAGGAGGCTGAGGCAGGAGAATCGCTTGAACCTGGGAGGTGGAAGTTGCAGTGACCCGAGACTGCACCACTGAACTCCAGCCTGGGTGACAGAGTGAGACTCCATCTCAAAAAAAAAAAAAAAAAAAAAAAAAGAATTTTGTCAAATACTCTTTCTACATCTATTTTGATAGTTATGTCATCTGTATATACTGCTGCACTTCTGTGGTAATATTGAAAATTTTTCAATATATATTCCTGAGCATAACTGGACTGTAATTTTCCTTTCTTGTAACCCTAAACTGGTCTTGTTACAGAGGTCATACTAGTTTCACAGAAAGAGTTGGGCAAGGGGTCTTCTCTAGAAAAACTTCATAATCTGTTCCTTGAAAGTTTGGTAGAATTTTCTTGAAAAACCATATGGGCCTACTAGTTTCTTGATCTGTAGACTTTCAACTACTGATTGAATTTCTTTAAAGGCTACAGGACTGTGGATGGCTTCTAATTCTACTTGAGCAGTTTTGGAAAGTTGTATTTTTCTAGAAATCTGTCCATTTCTACTTGTATTTAAAAATTAGCATAAAGTTTTTCTTATTGTCCTCTTATTTTCTAATTTGATATAATTTTGAATTTACAGAAAATATGCAGGAATAGCCCCCCAAAAACCCACTCATTATTTGCATACTTATAGTTACCACTTGTTAACACGAGACACATTTACTTTACCATCTTCATTTTATGTGTCTCTGAACCATCTGAAAGTAAGTTGCACACATCATGGCTCTGTACCACTAAATAATTAAGTGATCTCCTAGGAATAAAGACATTTTCCTATGTAACCATAGTACAGTTATCAATATTAGAATTTTTCTTTTTTTTTTTTAAAGAGATAGGGTCTCACTTTGTTGCCCAAGCTGGAGTGCTGTGATGCCATTATAGCCCACTGCAGACTCGAACTCCTGGGCTCAAGTGATCCTCCCACTTCAGCCTGCTGAGTAGCTAGGATTACACACATGTACCAACATGCCTGGCTCTGGAGTTTTTAACATTGATCAATTCCTGAACAATGGATTGTACATTGTTAATATATAAAAGTACAACTTTTGCATATTATACTGAATTGTACATATTTTTAAACATATATCTTAACTGTACATTACCAATTTACAGAAGTACAACTGACTTTTATATATTGACTTAGCCCTAATAGCTTTTGTAGGTTCCAATGGAGTTTCCATATAGTCAATCATGTAATCTATAAAGGTAATTTTCTTCACTTCTAAACTGGAATCCTTTTATTTTTCTTGCCTATTCCACTAGCTAGAACAATGTTAAACAGAAGTAGTGAAAACAAAAACAAATCCTTTCCCTATTTTAGGGGAGAAGCATTAGGGTTCCACCATTAAATATGACTTTTTTTTTTGAGGCGGAGTCTTGCTCTGTCGCCCAGGCTGGAGTGCAGTGGTGCGATCTCTGCTCACTGCAACCTCCGCTTCCCAGGTTCAAGTGATTCTCTCCTGCCTCGGCCTCCAGAGTAGCTGGGACTACAGGCACGTGCCATCATGCTTGGCTTTTTTTTTTTGAGACAGAGTCTCGCTCTGTCGCCCAGGCTGGAGTGCGGTGGTCCGATCTCGGCTCACTGCAAGCTCCGCCTCCCGGGTTCACGCCATTCTCCTGCCTCAGCCTCCCAAGTAGCTGGTACTACAGGCGCCGGCCACCACGCCCGGCTAATTTTTTGTATTTTCAGTAGACACGGGGGTTTCACTGTGTTAGACAGGATGGTCTCGATCTCCTGACCTGGTGATCTGCCCGCCTTAGCCTCCCAAAGTGCTGGGATTACAGGCGTGAGCCACAGCGCCCAGTCTTTTTTGTATTTTTAGTGGAGACAGGGTTTCACCATGTTGGCCAGGCTGTTCGCAAACTCCTGAACTCAATTGACCCAACCCGCCTCGGACTCACAAAGTGCTGGGATTACAGGCATGAACCACTGCACCCAGTCTGATTTTACCTGTTCGTTTTTCTTAGATGCCTTTCATTAGGTTGAGAAAGCTTCCCTCTATATTTCTAGTTTGCCTAGAACTTTTTATCAGACATAGATGTTGGATTCTGTCAAATGCTGTTCCTGCATGTATTGAGAGGATCATACAAATTTTCTTTTAGAGTTTCCTGGCTTTCTTCTTCCAGTTAGGCTTATATTAAAACCTCATTGGATCCTCCGTAATTTTTAAATTTCTCTTTCATATTCTTCATAACCTAGTCTTTATGAGGCATTCTGGATAATTTCACTGATTCTATCTGCCAGACCTCTAATTTGCTCTTTAGCTTTTTGTAATCTTGTGTTTACTGTATCTGCTCTTTTATTTCGACAACTTGATTTTTATTTCTAAACGTTCTACTGGTTCATTTTCATATCTACCTAGTAATTTTTAAGTCACTTGTTTCTCAATTTTTTATTCCATATTTTAAAGTATTTCATTTACAGATACCTTAGATTCTTTATCAGATAATTCTACTATCTGAAATCCATAGCATCCTTGAGAGTCTAAAAGCCATTTTGCATTGTTTTTATTTTTTCTGCTCTCATTCACAGATTCTAGTTTATGAGATTGGCAATTTTTTACTGTGAGCTTATATTTGTCTAAACTTAATATAAGAATTCTGGTGGCTAAAACTAAAAATGTGTTCCTCTACAGAGGAACTGCATTTGTTTCTTACGGGAATGACACGTTGTTACCAATTAAGGATCATGTTAGCCACTACCCTGGGTCTTGGTGTAATGCAAGACTCTCAAGTTTCTTCTTCCATCTTGCTACATCCCCAAAGCACAGAGTATTGATCCCATCACTGATGTGGGTATTTGACCTCAAGACAACCCCATCTTGTGCATTCACCTATCACTCACAAATCCTCACTACAGGTTCAACTATTTTATCTTTACATGTATCTATATATGCATGGATGCCCCTCAAAGATTCTCTTATTTTTCGCAAGCTTAATAGTACATTAAAAATCATCTTTTTCTAATTTATGTAGAATTTGTATGTACTGTAGTGACACAGCCTTTAAGAACATCTGGTCCCTATACAAGTAAAACAAGAAATCCTCTAACCTTTACAGATAAGAGTACTTACTAATAATAAGAGCCCTCAGAAATAATGCCACATATCTACAACTATCTGATCTTTGACAAACCTGACAAAAACAAGCAATGGGGAAAGGATTCCCTGTTTAATAAATGGTGCTGGGAAAACTGGCTAGCCATATGTAGAAAGATGAAACTGGATCCCTTCCTTACACCTTATACAAAAATTAATTCAAGATGGATTAAAGACTTACATGTTAGACCTAAAACCATAAAAACCCTGGAAGAAAACCCAGGCAATACCATTCAGGACATAGGCATGGGCAAGGACTTCATGTCTAAAACACCAAAAGCGATGGCAACAAAAGCCAAAATTGACAAATGGGATCTAATTAAACTGAAGAGCTTCTGCACAGCAAAAGAAACTACCATCAGAGTGAACAGGCAACCTACAGAATGGGAGAAAATTTTTGCAACCTACTCATCTGACAAAGGGCTAATATCTAGAATCTACAATAAACTCAAACAAATTTACAAGAAAAAAAACAAACAACCCCATCAAAAAGTGAGCAAAGGATACGAACAGACACTTCTCAAAAGAAGACATTTATGCAGCCAAAAGACACATGAAAAAATGCTCATCATCACTGGTCATCAGAGAAATGCAAATCAAAACCACAATGAGATACCATCTCACACCAGTTAGAATGGCGATCATTAAAAAGTCAGGAAACAACAGGTGCTGGAGAGGATGTGGAGAAATAGGAACACTTTTACACTGTTGGTGGGACTGTAAACTAGTTCAACCATTGTGGAAGTCAGTGTGGCGATTCCTCAGGGATCTAGAAGTAGAAATACCATTTGACCCAGCCATCCCATTACTGGGTATATACCCAAAGGATTATAAATCACGCTGCTATAAAGACACATGCACACATGTTTATTGCGGCACTATTCACAATAGCAAAGACTTGGAACCAACCCAAATGTCCAACAATGATAGACTGGATTAAGAAAATGTGGCACATATATACCATGGAATACTATGCAGCCATAAAAAATGATGAGTTCATGTCCTTTGTAGGGACATGGATGAAGCTGGAAACCATCATTCTCAGCAAACTATCTCAAGGACAAAAAACCAAACACCGCATGTTCTCACTCATAGGTGGGAAGTGAACAAGGAGAACACATGGACACAGGAAGGGGAACATCACACTGTTGTGGGGTGGGGGGAGGGGGGAGGGATAGCATTAGGAGATATACCTAATGCTAATTGACAAGTTAATGGGTGCAGCACACCAACATGGCACATGTATACAATGTATACATATGGAACAAACCTGCACGTTGTGTACATGTACCCTAAAACTTAAAGTATAATAATAATAAAATTGAAAAAAAAAATGGTCCTTTGCAAGGTAATTGTAAAAAAAAAACAAAAAAAAAACCAGAAATCTACCTGGTTTATCCCTATTCAATATTTTAATCAAATTGAGATTCCATAGATAAATAAGTTGAACATTTATCTCATAATATTGAAAAGATTTCAAATTTGGATATCCTAAATTTTTGAGTTACAGTCTTTAATGCTATTTTCAAATCATTTGATATGTCTAAAAGGGTAAAAGAAAACACATTATTTTTCATAGTTACGATTCTCATTAGTACAGCAACTGAAAATGCTGAATGCTCTCCAAATTTAGTTTAATGCATCCTATACACATGATTACAAGATTCTGTTTAATGATAAAAACTTCTGGCTTAGAAAATCAAAGTATCATATCTATAATCCCCCACACAGCTAAGCTGGCTTAATCCTGCAAATAAGAATCTACAGCCTGTTTTCCAATGTGTGGATCCTTAATAATTTGTCAATAATTTGCTACACTCACTTTCAAGCAAAGTATTATATAGTACTGGTGATTAGACAGTGATAATAAAACTCTTAACTGGTTTTAAAGATACCAACATTGAATTTCTTAATGTCTAATAATCAACCTAAAATTCTAATTTAAAAATGAAATACTGCATCCATTCATATAAACCATAGAAAACAGAATATAGTGGCTGGGCGCGGTGGTTCACGCCTGTAATCCCAGCACTTTGGGAGGCCGAGGTGGGCGGATCACAAGGTCAGGAGATCGAGACCATCCTGGCTAACACGGTGAAACCCCATCTCTACTAAAAATACAAAAAATTAGCCGGGCGAGGTGGCGGGCACCTGTAGTCCCAGCTACTTGGGAGGCTGAGGCAGGAGAATGGCGTGAACCCGGGAGGCGGAGCTTGCAGTGAGCCGAGATCCCGCCACTGCACTCCAGCCTGGGCGACAGAGCGAGACTCCGTCTCAAAAAAAAAAAAAAAAAAAAGAAAACAGAATATAGTAAGAGAAAAATAATATTCAACGTTAAAATGCCAAAATAATATGGATAGGTATAAATATATCTTTTCAAATTATCATATAAACTGAAAATAACAGGATAATTTTATAAGCTAGCCAGAGCATTTATTAATGCAGAAGCAGAATTAGTTATCTCAATTAAAAAATAGCTTTCAAAAGGCTCTACATTTAAACTAAAATACCGCTTAGGTTATGAGCTGAGAGGAATGAAATAATAATAAACTAAAATGTCCCTAAGATTGTTACACCAGATATAATTGGTCAAGTTTTATTTTATATTCAGACCATTTATGCCCTCTTTATATTCTGATATATCCTTTATACCATTATAGCCATCAACTGTAAAAACTTCTGAACTAGTAAAGCATTACAGAATCCCACTATCATGTGGGATTTTTTTTCCCTTGAACATTCCTAAGATTACACTTTGAACACTAATCTACACAGTTGTCTCTGTCATCTGAAATCAAAATCTTAGCAAAAACCAAGGCATATTTGGAGGATTACATTGAAAACTAAGTTTTAAAGTAAACCCAAATGTTTATTTTTTGTCTGCTAAAAAAAGTATATACTTTAGAATTAATAATTCTCACAAGACTCTGCAGAACACAACTAAGAAATATCATTTTCAAATTGTTATAGCAACAAAATTACCACGTTAGGTCATAACTCACTTTAGTAAAGTGAGACATATGATTTGATACATTCAGAGGAAATCCTTGACATTAGTTTATTTAAGGAAGCATGATCAATAATTTAAATTTCTGATACTCTACATCAATTAATGTACAAGCATATCATGTTATTAGAACTACTGAGTAAAACTGACTTTCTCACATGGCAAGATTCTTTACTAGCTAGCATTTGTTCAGTTTATGAACCCTATATAAAAGTTCCAGCATTAAAGAAAGACTGAACTAGGGCTGGGTGTGGTGGCTCATGCCTATAATCCCAGCACTTTGGGAAGCCAAGGCAGGCGGATCATGAGGTCAGGAGTTCGAGACCAGTCCTACCCATATGGTGAAACTCCATCTCTACTAAAAATACAAAAATTAGCCAGCATGGTGGTGGGTGCATGTAATCCCAGCTATTCAGGAAGCTGAGGCAGGAGAATCGCTTGAACCTAGGAGGCGGAGGTTGCAGTGAGCCGAGACCACGCCACTGCACTCTAGGCTGGGCGACAAGAGTGAGACTCCGTCTCAACAACAACAACAACAAAAAAGCGAAACTGAATTAATAATTATGATAGCAAATTGTCAAGTCAGTCTCTGAAATAAGTGTAAATTATTTCACTTTCCCTCATAATATCTCAGTTCTGTGGGCACTATTATTATCCTCATCTGATATTTGAGATTACATGACCTACCCAAGGTTGCACAATCAGTGGTAGCAAATCATACCTGTCTGATAGCAGGTCAAAATTCTTAATTACTACATTGTCCTGCCCTTGACACTACTTGAATAACTGTTACAAAAGAAGCCCTTTAAGATTTGGCTTTCCAAATGCTAAAAGCTATACTTACTCTTATGTAAATTATTTTGGACCACTTTTAACATATTTTAGGGATCTGGGCAGACTGACTATAAAATATAACACATAAAGATTATTAAATAATGAGCGTAGCAGGACAGTTTGTTTTTTCTACAGATGAAGTCTTAGAACATTAACTAATGAAAAATTTTCTCACAAACACAGGTTTAAAAAATCTACAGGAAAACATAAATTTAAAAAATGAGTTACCATGACACACCTATTAGAATAGCCGATCTCCAAAACACTGACAAATCCAAATATTGGCAAGGATGGGGAACAAAAGTAACTCTCTTTCTTTGCTAATGGGAATACAAAATGATACAGCAACTTTCAAAAACAGTTTGGCAGTTTCTTACTAAGCTACATATAGTCTAACAATACAGTCAGCAAGCGCAACTCTTATGTATTTACCCAAAAGAGATGAAAATGCAAAAGGCTGAGCAAGAGGTGAAAACCACACAATAATGTCTACAGTAGCTTTATTCATAACTGGCAAAAACTGGACGCAACCAAAATATCTTTCAATAAATGAATGAATAAACAAACTGAGGTATAGCTAGGCAATGGAATATTGTTCAGTGATTAGAAGAAAACTACCAAACCAAAATAAGCCATTGAAGGAACCTTAAACGCATATTGCTAAGTGGAAGAAGGCATTCAGAAAAGGCAACTTACTGTATAATTCCAATTACATGACATTTTGAAAAAGGCAAAAACTATGAAGACAGTAAAAAGATCAGTGGTTACAGAGGTTCAGAAGGGAATTCAAGTAGGAATGAATAGGTAGAAAGGAATTTTTTGGGAAGTGAAACTAGTAAAACCATTCTGTGTGATACTGGAATGGTGGATTCATGACATACATTTGCATAAAGCATTGTGAACAGTGGTATATTTGTTACAACTGATGAACCACTATTGTTACATTATCAACTGAAGTCCACAGTTTACACATTAGAGTTTGCTCTTAGCACGGTATAGTCCCATGGTTCTTGCATAATGCATAACATTGTACTTTCTGCTCAATATTTTGTAAACCTAAAGCTGCCCTAAAATCAAAATTAATTTTAAAACAACTCTAGATATTGAACTACAATAAAAGGACAATAATTATAAAAATTATTTAACAAAGGAAAATGTAAAATAAAGGCTTTTTTGGGTAGAAATAAAACAAGCTGGTAAGAAGAAATGAAATACAGAAATTTCATCATAGCTTACAGTGAATTACAGAAGCATTGAAACCAAATGGTTTGAAAACAAAGAAATCTGGAAAATATATTCTTAATTTTCCTACTTGATATGGAATTAATAATGTAACTGTTTATAATCCATTTTCTAAACCAAAGAAAACATATCTATTAAATTAGCTTTCAGTGAATTTCAAGTACAGACTACTGCTTGTACAAATTTCAGCCAAGTGTGGTGGTGCAAACCTGCAGTCACAGCTATTTGGGAGGCTGAGGCAGGAAGATCACTTCAGCCCAGGAGTTTGAAACCAGCCTGGGCAATACAGTGAGACCCTGACTCATAATAAATAAAACAAAATAATAAAATAAGTAATTAAAAATTTTACTTTCTCAAAGGCAGCTTTTGAATAAAAAAAAGAAAAAAATTTCAGTACATTTTTTTTAAGTCTGTTATAGACAGATTCCAGTGTAGAAAAGATACTTGCTAGTAATGATTGCCCTAGGGAAAAAAAGTATTAATTTCTGAACAAATATTATAGGAAGCATATGATGTAATTCTAATATTATTTCATCCTGAACTAGTTATACTGTTTTACTTCATTTTTAAAATAAATAAAATTTTATTCACAGGTGTAAAAGGCTAAGCCACTAAATTAGAAAGAATTTTCAATATCAGGATATATCCTTCTTAAATATCTTAAAACTGCAAAAACTTGTAGAGTAAGAAGAACATTCTATTCATAACCTTTTCCTTGAAAAGAGGTTAGAAAAAGAGATTTTGGTGCATATATCACTCTTCAGTGACTCAAGAGATATATCGTTGTCTACTCAAGTTTGAAATTTCCTAAAGAATATAAGCGTTATTATTTAGGGTCCCCAAATCATTCTAAAAATCCTGAACTTTTTATAAAGGTTCTATTGCCAATGATAATTATCTTAACTAGAAAAATAATGTTCTTACTTGGTAGTTACATCCTTAGCAAAAATATTTGTTTACAGCTTTATAATAAAGATGTATTTGAAGAAAAAGACCATTCAAAGAAATTGTGCTAAATATTGAGGACCTTATGTGCTGTCTTTTGAGGTTTTTTTACTTTTCTCTTGCTCTGGAATTCCCAAGTATGGAGAGGGAAACGTCATTTTGGACTTTTCACAAAAGACTGATCTTTTCTATAGATAGGTACACTGAATTCCAAGAGACTAAATTTTTTCATAAATATTGCCCTTAAAAAAATTTCAACTAAACTGGTAATTTACATTAAAATTTATATATAAATAGGTATGTGTGTGTGGCATAGGAATATATTCTTAAATAGCGTGAGAATAGTGTCTGAAACAGCAATCTTTAATGGTTTTATTTTAATGAGAAGTTTTTTAAGTACATGAAATAGGTGAATAAAAAGCATATATCCCTATACCTAACAATCCTTTTTAATCAGTAATGATTCATATGCATTTTCTTTCTCTCTTTCTCTCCTTCTCTCTCTTTCTTCCTGAAAGGGTCTCACTTTATTACTCAGGCTAGAGTGCAGTGGTGCAATCTTAACTGACTATAACCTTGAACTCCTAGGCTCAAGCAATCCTCCTGCTTCAGACTCCTGAATATCTGGAACTACAGGTGTACACTACCATTCCTGGCTAATTGTTTTAGTTTTTGTAGAGATGTGGTCTCCCTATGTTGCCCAGGCTGGTTTTAAACTCATGGCATCAAAAGATTCTCTCACCTCAGTCTCCCAAATTATTGGGATTACAGGTATCAGCCACTGTGCCTGGACTCATACGCATTTAAAATCTGGCCTGCACAAGTTGCCAGTGTTCATTCACCTTAATAATTTATTGTTATCAAGAATTTATATGTGTTTTTATGTAGAAACTCTACCCAATGTAATAATATTACAAACATAAGCCTCCTAAATAGCAGTATTATTTACTTTTGATATTTTCCTTAGATTCTCCTGAGTACAGTTGTTTCATTATAACTGTTCTTATGTTGTTTGTAGAATATTAAATTGTTCAAAAGGAATAACAATATGCAAAGTATTTGATAATAAAAGCTCGAAATGAGGCCACTGCACATAAAGACTAAATAGATTCATTTGTGTAGAAAGCCAAAACCACAACAAATGAATGAAAACACTGCAAGTATAGTTGTTTGTCTGTAAATATGAAGGCCCAATATTAATTATCCCATCTAGTAATAAATGCAAAACATGAGTGACTATACACCTTGACAAAAGCATCTCATTGTTTCTTTCACACAATTGAAAGCCAAGTAGAAAGCAGGGTAAAGTTACTGATATAAATATACGTGCACAAAAGAGTTAACATAACAGGTCTGAGTAGCTATTGTCAGGAAATCCTGATTGCAAGGTTGGTATTTGGCTAGCATCTAGGAACTCAGATTTTGAGAAGGACCCCATAATTCTCTGTTAAGAGTTGTTCACTGTACCTAAACTGTCTGTGACAAACAATATGGTTTATACTGAACACCTGCTTTTCTACTGGGAGTCTAGAATTTTGGTATGTCTTTAGGCATTAACTAACCCCTGATAAAACTCTGGACTCATAAGCTCAAGTTGAGTTTTCCCAGTAGACAGCACTTTTTGCATGCTGTCATAACTTGCTACTGGAATAATCAAGGGGGTCAAGTCTAACTACAGTGAGAGAGGACTCTTTGGAAGCTTGCATCTGGTCTCCTCTAGATCTTGCCCCATGCATCTTTTTTTCCTTTTGCTGATTTTGCTGCGCATCCTTTCATTGTCACAAATCATAGCCATGAGTACAACTATATGCTGGCGATGGCAGGGGCGACCTCTCTGGAGCAGCCACTGCCATGAGGCTGGCTGCAGTGGAGAGCTGGCAGGAGTCCCACCCACTTCTGAGTTGGAGGGGTGGGACCCTGCCCTCATGGCTACAGCTGCAGCTGCCCAGCCACAGCTGTGGACCCAGGCATCCCTGTGTTCTTGGTGACCTGGGAAGCCCCCTGCCTCCACAGGCTTGAAAGTGCCTGCTCCCACTGCCTGGCCTCTCCCAACTCCCAGCACCTACTTTGATTTCACAGCACAACTGAGGCCGAGCCCAGGTGCTGTCACATCTCAGCCAGGTGTGTGCAGACTCAGGGCAGCACACCAGCCCTCTGCCACCTTGGCCCACTCCAGACTTTGGACACCAACAAGCATGGGAGGAAGGCCGAGGGAGTGTTGAGGGCAGCTCAGTGAGGGCCTGCAGGTGCCCCGTGGCATGAACAGCCTGAGTGCTGTGGATGACAGGTTGATGGTGGCAGGAGGCAGAAAGGCTCCTGGGCAGAAATGGGCGAGTCCATGGTGAGGACCAACATTTAAGCCAGGGATCTGAAGCCTGGGGGCTGGACTGCCAGTTCTGCGGACTGGAGTGACAAGTTATGGTGCTTTTTCCAGGCCTGCCCATGGCCAACCATGGACAAATCAGCACACCCTTCCTCCCTTCTGAAGCCCATAAAAACCCCTGACTCAGCCAGACGACAGGACTATCTGCCTGTGGACAGGAGCTACCCACTCTGGGTCTCCTCTGTACTGAGGGCTGCACAAACAACGGGATGACCTGCCAGCAGATACAAGCTAAGCACTCTGGGTCTCCTCTCTGCTGAGGGCCACACAGATGTCAGGATGACCAGCTTGCAGATGGGACCTACCCACTCCAGGTCTCCTCTCTACTGAAGACTGTACATACATCAAGGTGACCTGCCTGCAGAAGGGACCTACCCACTCTGGGTCTCCTCTCCACTGAGGGCTGCACAGGTGGCAAGATGACCTACCAGCAGATACAAGCTAACCACTCGAGGTCTCCTCTATGCTGAGGGCTGCGCAGATGACAGGATGACCTGCCCGCAGGTATAAGCTAACCACTCTAGGTCTCCTCTATGCTGAGGGCTGCATGGATGTCAGGATGACCAGCCTGTGGATGGGACCTACCCACTTCAGATCTCCTCTACACTGAGGGCTGCACAGACATCAGGATGGTCTGCCTGTGGAACAGAGCTAAATACTGCAGGTCACCTCTCCACTAAGAGCTGGACACTTGTGGGGACGATCTGCTTGCAGAAAGGAGCTACCCACTTCGGGTCTGCCACTCAGTGAAGCTCCTCTCTGCCTTGCTCACCTTCCAGTTGTCCACATACCTCATTCTTCTTGGATGTGGGACAAGAACTCAGGACCCACCAAATGGCTGGACTAAAAAAGCTGTAACACAAACAGGGATGAAACATGCCTCCACTGCTCACCACATTCTGGGCAACAAGAAGGAGAGAAGAGCTGTGGCCCTTTGGGAAGCCCACACCTAGATGCACCCCGAGCCAGGGTTGTGACACCTTCTTTGGGATTCTGCAGTTCCTGGTGTCTCTTGAGTTTCCAGGTGTCACTACATTCCCCTCATCTAGATGTGGGCTACATTCCCCTCATCTAGATGCCTGCAGCATAAGCTGTGTGTAGTACATCTGATCCAGCTGCAGTCTCACATGGAGCTAGCACCTGTGCTGACACCTGGAGCTGCCTGCCCTGCCACAGCAGCCAGTGTGCCTGGCTGTGCACAGTGGCTGGACCCCAAGCTTGTCACTCACATACCACTCACTGCTCTGTCCCTGGCTCATGTTTGTCAGTTGTGGGGTCTGGGCTGGTAGTGTGAGCCAAGTGCAACCTGCTAGGCCAAGAGGGCGGAACGAGCCCAGCGGGCATGAGCGATATTCAGGCAGAAGGCACCACTGGTCACAGGAGTTTCTGGCTGGCGAAGTGACACCCTAAGGATCCTGTGACGCTGGGTCCTATCCATCCTCCTAATAAATCATCAAACTTGAGGGCTAGTCCTGGAGGCTTTCCACACAGTATACAAAATATTTAATATTGTGGACTTACAAAGGAAATTACCTATACCATAACACTAGAAACTCAGGAAACTTTTTTCTTTGGGCTACTGGAGGTTAGGATTTAACAATCGGTAGAATCATTATCCTATGAATCATTATCAAAAACACATCAATATAATGAATAAAATGTAGAATCAGGGATTCCTATGCATGGAAAGAATTCTTATGGCCCATGAGGCTAGTAGATTGGTGGAAGACAGAAAGATCTCAGAATATGGAAAATGAATATAGCAAAGTACTTTATGGGAAAAATCAATGACCTTCAGTAAACACATTATAATGACTTCTATTTAAATGTCGTATTTATCAAAAGTTTTCACCTTATTCTCTAGTGGAAGTTTTAAAGCACTTATAAGCTGTCATTTATATGACAGAAAATGAGAAATTAGTATATACATTACAGAAATTAATCTATAAATAATACTATTGCTGGCAGCTACTCCATAAACAAATATGATTACATTTATTTTAGTTTATTTATTTATTTTTGAGATAGAGTTTCACTCTGTCGCCGAGGCTGGAGTGCAGTGGCGTGACCTCAGCTCACTGCAACCTCTGCCTCCTGGTTTGAAGCAATTCTCCTGCCTCAGCCTCCCGAGTAGCTGGGACTACAGGCATATGCCACCACGCCCGGCTAATTTTTGTATTTTTATTAGAGACAGAATTTCACCATATTGGTCAGGCTGGTCTTGAACTCCTCACCTCATGATCCACCCACCTTGGCCTCCCAAAGTGCTGGGATTACAGGCGTGACCCACCACGCCCAGCCCCATGATTACATTTATATTGCAAGGAACATTATTATAGTTGTCAAGAAATACACTTCTCTATTGCCATCTGATATGTAGCCACTCTATAAGGTAGTAGTAACACAAATGATGCTGACTCATATATTCCTGTTTTGTACAAGAAAGATGTAAAAATATTTTCCTTTAAACATACCTTAACTATTTCTTCAATGAAACAAATGTGAGAAACAGGATCTCTCTTCTTGGCCAATACTTTTTGTAGATGTTGTACCTTAAATGAAACAAATGTAAAGCTTAGGCAATAGAAAAAGCAAGAAAAGGGAAATGGCAACCTTTACGTACATTATCATCAGCTAGTGGAGGTATTTTGAATGCTCATTGATTAAAAAACCTGCCCAAGGTCACACAATTTGGAATAACCAGGAGTTAATCCATATTAATGTTTTTTCCACTCCTTCAAATATTTACCTGTCCACAAACAGCATAAATATGATCCATAAGTTTCTCCATATTGGTCCAGAGTGAGGCACGCAAAGCTGCAGTATTTCCTGGGGTTGGCATGGTAGATCGTCCAGGTCCCCCTGGTTATGAGTGAGAAAGAACAATGAAAAATAAAGTTTTCCAAAGGCAAATATATATATATATGTTATTATAAAAACCATACGCAAGCTAAAAAATGAGAAGTTCCTTCTTTAGGAAATAATTTATTGAGTAAGAATCTTAACCTTTTATGCTTAAGAAAGAAAGGGAAGCGACACATACCCAGGAAGGATAAAATGGAAATTGATGAAAATGGTTTCCTACAAGAGGTGTGAGAATGGTGGGAAATGAAACAGGTGAAAGGTACAGGGATGGAGGTGAGTCTTCCTCTGTTTCCTACCACTCTCATGCCCCTTGTAGGAAACCATCTTCACTAATTTCCCATTTATCCTGTGTATGCACATGTGTGTGTATGTGTGTTGTATCCCCTTTCTTAAAAAAAAAAAAAACCCTAAAACTGAACATAAACACATACCGAAACAAATAAAACTAACTGTATATCAAATTGACAATATAACCACACAGGAGGAAAACAATTTTAATTCACGGAATTTTTACTTACAGAACGCTGACTTTAGTGAGACACATTTATGCACAAAAAAATTACAAAGAAATACTGAACTTTATTAAATAGATTTTTGCTGGATGTGGTATTGAAGTAGTAATCCTGAAACTAGTTTAGGTATATTTTGGAATGGAGCAAAATAAGGTTCTCAGTGTAAACAGAATAAAGACACAAATACGTAACAGGAATCAGAGGTATTTCCCCACTCTATCCACTGGAAAGTCAGAGAGACAATGGTTCCTCAATAGTAATAAGTATATGTAGTGTCCAAATTTTGATTTCTAAGACCATTCTCCAATAAAAACAAAGCAGGATTCAGTGGAAAAAAGAGTGATTTCATATTTGGAGCAGTGAAAATACAAGGTGAATGTGGTAGATATTGTGCCAGTGAGCAATAAAGTATTTGAAGACAAATGAAATTTTTCAAAAGGATACATCAAGTTGACTGGAGGGGGCTTCCACAACACAAATTTCAGAGAATTTGGCCATCCAAAATAATACTGATGGTAATGAATTATAAAACAATGATTAAAAAATAATTCATGAGTACACAGTGAAACTCAAATGTTTAAAAAGGATGGAAATGCTCTTTACAAAAGAGTATCAGCTAATAAATGCAGAAAGAATGACAGAATTAGAAAAAAAAATCACCATTTTACAACTACTGGTTGCAAAGTTAATTAAGACAAAGAGTATCGATGGATACCAAAACACTAAGTGAAATGTTATTGGCCGGGCATGGTGGCTCATGCATGTAATCCCAGAACTTTGAGAGGCCAAGGTGGACGGATCACCTGAAGTCAGGATTCGAGACCAGCTTGACCAACATGGAGAAACCCCATCTCTGCTAAAAATACAGAATTAGCCAGGCATGGTGTTGCATGCCTGTAATTCTAGCTACTCGGGAGGCTGAGGCAGGAGAATTGCTTGAACCCAGGAGGCGGAGGTTACAATGAGCCGAGATCGTACCATTGCACTCCAGCCTGGGTAACAAGAGCAAAACTCCATCTCAAAAAAAAAAAAAAAGTTATTGAGAACAAGATATTCATCACATAGTCTCAAAGTATGCACCTATAAATTACTAATTACAAAGATAAGAGCATAGTATTACAAGGAGCACTCTGGCATATGCCAATTTAATGAAGTGATCTAATTTAGCATCAGCAATAATGAAACAAACTGAAATAATTTTGTTTTCCTGATATGATGTAATAGGAAGTACACAACATCATCTTACCAATAGTATGTTTACCCTGAAGCTAATCATGAAGAAAATATCACACGAATCCAGACAAATTCAGATTATGAGGCTCTCCAAAAAATGTTAATGCCATTAACAACAACAACAAAAAAGCCAGTGGTGCTGTTTTTTATTAAAGAGACAAGACAGCCAACAGAAAAGCATGATCCCTGATTGGTTTCATTGGTTTCAGTCAGGGGAAATCAACTTACATAAACAACATTTTGGGGAACAATAAAATTTTGAGTATGAACTGCACCTTAAATAATATTAATGTATCAATACGAAATTTCTAGAGAGTGAGACTAAGAATTTTCTTGTATATAACACACACAGGAATCTTTATGTAAAGGTTTGAAATGTTTCAATAAAAAAATAGAAATTTTAATCCCAAATTGAAAGGCATACATTTCACTCCAAACTGACGTTTAATACCAGGCAGTAGAAGAACTCATCATTGGTTAGTCATTCTATATCCCTGCTTTTAAGGAGGACAAGATCAAGAAAACCAGAGGGACTGTGTGTGTCAACTACCTCACTGTAGTTTTTCAACAATTCAGAAAAGAATTACATGTACCTTTAGCAAACAGATGCAGTTATTTCTTTAATCTGATAACAGTAGCAAGCAATAAAATAATCTATGAGAAAGATGTTGGCTTAAAAAATATAGATATTATCTGTTTGAAATCCGCATCTAATGAATCTTTAGAATATTTGCAGTGCTATGCAAAGACTATTAAGGGAAGGTATACAGGAAATGGATAATACTGTAACAATCTGCAGCTGTCTCATATGTTATATAAAGAATGAACTCATAACAGTGAGAAAAGGGTATGTAGTGCCTTTATGAATACTAAAAAAATAGGTCAAATTCCTGGAATATGTATGACTTGGTTTTATTATAATTATGAAACCCTTTAACCTATTATTCTTTTAAATACAAGCAGAAATACAAGACATTGCCATTACCAGTTAGCTTTAATAGACTCAAGAAACAAAATAGTCTCTTAAGTTTTATGTAAGTGATAAAATAAACTAAGAGTTCCTCATAGATATAATACTTGAAAAATGGTTTCTAGTTAGTGACGGTGGAATAAAATCATTTTCTTACTCTCTTCTCTTGAATGCCAATGAAAAGAAAATCAAACAAAAGATAGAAAATGTCAATTTCAAAGACACAAACAATCAAACAAAACTTCAAACTTGAGATTATGAAGCATGCATGCCAGTTGCTGTAGATAAGTCAAAATGAAGAAGGAACCAGAGAGATGACACCTTAGATCATTAGGAAGAAGTAAATTGCTCTTAAAACCAATTGTAAGAATTTGCACAAGCTATCTAAGGATTCTTTGATTACAGCTGAGATCTACAGATTAGGACAGGCCAGGGAATGTTCAACATTGCAAAATGACAAAAAAAAAAAAAAAAAAAAAAAAAAAGAAAAGCTGAAGGAAAATCATAAGGAATTGATATTTATGTTGTTTAAGAATTAGCCCCTGAGTGTGGGGCAGACTACTGGAGGTAAAGTGAGATGAAGAAAAAAAAAATACTGAGAATGCTAGGATTCAACACTGAAATGGCTTAAATAGCTTTACTGGTAGCCATACTAAGCTTCTGAATGATGCAAATTTTGAGAACAGATGTGCTCCCAAGGTAAAAAGAAGTAACAAACTGGTCAATGGTTATTGTAGACAACAAACCTAAATTAAATTGCAGACTGCTTCAGGTATCTCCCTTCAGCCATGCCTACACTATTCTTCAATGAATAGCTAGCACTTTTCAATGATGAATAATCATCAGAAACAAAGCAACAATAGACTTAACATAGACACTGGGGAGGGTGGCAGGAAGGAGGAAGAAAGGAATATAAGCTAAAAGCAGTGATAAACATATATCACCAAAGAAAGAATAGAAAGGGATACTCAGTTTTCCACTGTCTCAAATTACTGGAATACTCACTGGAAAAATATTATAGAAATAAGGACCATATTAGAAAAAACACAAGTTATAATAAACGAGAGTGAAAACATAGTAACACATGTGAAATAGGCAAGAGGAAATAATACAAAATGAAGTAAAATGCAAAGATACTGGAAGCAAAGTGAAAAAACTCCAAGCAAATATTAAGAGAATCAGACTTCCACATCCATGACACCCTCTCTCCCACAGCATGCCCAGCACCAAGTGCAAGAAGATACTAGACATGGAAAACAGAGAATATCTGATATATGCATAAAGTTCTTGAAAAGAACAAATGGAACAGGAAAACATTCAATATACAATGGAAGAAAACTTTTCTATAAAAGGGAACATACTTTAACACACATACACACACAAAAACTGACACACAGCGTTCAACTGAGACATATCCTAAAGAAGTCACTGAACTTCAAAGATAAAGGAAAAACCATTTGGACAGTCAAGAAAAAGCAAGTCAGGTAGTGTGGGATAAAAATCTGATTAGTCTCATAATTCTCTAATACAACACTAAAACCCAGCAGTTGGTAAAGCAACGTCTGATGGTAGATGGGACCCTCCATTTTCCGTTCATATGAAGGGACTTCAGCTAAAGTAACTTTCTTGCCTTCTTTCCCTACCTCTTATCCAATTCTCCCCATGTGAAGAGGAGTGAGTGATGAGTGAATCTGAATAAGAAACTGAGCCTAATTGGCTCAGTCTCTTCCTTTCTCTGTTGTTGAAGCTTTGCATATATAAAAGGTGCATTCTGACCAACATTCTACCAGTGGTAAGTATAGTGGGAAAGGCTGAATTGGGAAGTAAGTTTAATTTTGAGGTGATATATTAAAAAATCCATTTGGTCATAAATCTAAGCTATGCCTTTCGGTGTATTTTTTTTTAACAGTAATAAAACTAACATTACAATTGTCACCTTTTTTGTCTCCTACATTTGTGTCTCATTTTCCAATTCAGTGGGGGAAGAAAAACATTATTTATTTGGACACATACAGCTACAAAATTCTAAGGGAAAGAAAGTGTAAATAAAAATTTATACCTGGCCAAATCATTTAAGCATAAAAGCAAAACACACCACCAACTACACAAGGACTCAGAAAGCACAGTACCCATAAAACATTTTGAAAAATCAACTAGATTATGATATCCAGCCAAGGGAGAGATGAATATAGAAATGGAGAGGTCTGGTACAACCTCTATGGAAAATAGTACAGAGATTTCTCAAAGACCTAAAGTACATCTACCATTCGATCCAGCAGTCCCACTACTGGGTATCTACCCAGTAGTCATATATCAAAAAGACACCTACATGTGTATGTATATCACAATGTAACTCACAATTGCAAAGACAGGTAACCAATCTAAGTGTTCACAAAACAATGAGTGGGTAAAGAAACTGTTGTGTATATATATACACACACACACACACCATGGAACACTACTCAGCCATAAAAAAGAATGAAATAATATCTTTTGCAGCAACTTGGATGGAACAAGTGGCCATTATTCTAAGTGAAGTAACTGAGGAGCAGAAACTTGAATACCATATGTTCTCACTTATAAGTGGGAGCTAAGCTATGGGTACAAAAAGACAGAGTGGTATAATGGACATTAGAGACTCAGAATGGGAGAGTAGGAGGGATGTGAGGGCTAAAAAACAGCATATTAGTACAATGTACATGACTCGGGTGACCATCCACTAAAATCTTAGACTTCACCACTATACAATTCATCCATGCAACCAAAACCCACTTGTACCCCTAAAGCTACTGAAAAAAAGAGAAAAGAAATGCAGAGGTCATATTAAAAGAACCAGAGATTAAAATAATTTAAAAATAGAATAAAATGTAAAAAACATTAATCATTCAAAAATAACATAACTAACAACTGGCAAATGAGGATGGGGGGCGGGAAGGGAAAAGTATAAGTATGCCTATTTCCCACATTTAGTAGTAAAGACTCAACAGACTTAGTAACAAATGACTTCAATTTCTTATTTTTTTTAAATCTTTCATTCACTACTTTTAAATTTGGAGGTATCAATTAGGATCTAGTATTTCTTATGAAGAAGCATTAATTGGAAATTCATTAAGTCCTTGATGTCACATAAATTTCTAATTATTCTGTTGAATGAAAGTAAAATACTTTTTATTTTAAAAAGTATACTTCTAAAACTGGTGGGGCTAAACTATGGTGCTTAAGTTCACACATATGAATGATAAAACTATAAAAAGAAAAACACAGGAAGTTATCAATATAAAAGTGAGGATGACAATGGTTATATATGAGAGAGAGAGGGGCTGGTTGTGATTGGTACGGAGTACATAAACAGGTTTCTGGATCGCTGGTTTAGCCTAGGAAGTGTTCACCTTATAATAATTCATTAAGCTACATGTTTATGTTTTTCTTTAAGTTTTATAATAAAAAGGTATTTTTAAAAAGCATGTATCTTAAAATTCCATTTATGCCTCTCCATTTACCCTTCTATAACATATAATGCACAGATAAATGTATGGACTACTTTTCACTGTATAGTAACAACTACAGTATCTATCTGGGTGATGAAATTTGGATATTCTGTGTTGTCTACTTTGCTTCATCATCATCTTTCTTCACTGTTTGACTTTCTCAACATTTATGTTTTATTGTTAAATATTTCAGGCATACAAAAAAGCATATAGAATAATGTTATGAACACTAACCACCAAGCTTTAAGAAATACAACACTAAATAAAGTGAAGTTTCCTTGTACTCTCCTTTGCTGGTCTCATTTCCCTTGCTCTCTCAACAGATGTAATGGTATCGGGTTTTGTAGTTTGTTTTTAAGAGACAGAGTCTTGTTATGTTGCTGAGGCTGGATTCAAACTCCTAGGCTCAAGTGATCCTTCCACCTCAGCATCCCAAGTAGCTGGGATTAGAGGCATGTGTCACCATGCCCAGCACTGGTATCTTAAATTTGTTGATCATTATTCCAATGTGCGTATTTACACTGTTAGTACATATGTGCACATGCAAAAACAATTTAATATGGTCTGTCATATTCTTAGGCTTTAAATTGGTATCAGGCTGTATGTATGTATCTGTAACTTTTTCATGTGCTGTTTTTGACCATTATCTATACTGGGAAATTTGTTAATTTAAATGCTGTGTATTAATCCCCTTAATAAACTAGTTTATCCATTGCTTGTACTTTTTCACTATTTGTAAACAATGAGGTAACAAAAATTCTTTTTTTTTTTTTTTTTTTTGAGATGGAGTCTTGCTCTGTTGCCCAGGCTTGAGTGCAATGGCACTATTTCGGCTCACTGCAACCTCTCCCTCCCAGGTTCAAGCGATTCTCCTGCCTCAGCCTCCTGAATAGCTGGGATTACAGGCATGCGCCACCACGCCCGGCTAATTTTTCTGTATTTTTAGTAGAGAGGGGGTTTTACCATGTTGGCCAGGCTGGTCTCAAACTCTTGACCTCAAGTGATCTGCCCACCTCAGTCTCCCAAAGTGCTGGGATTACAGGCATGAGCCAACACGCCGGCCAGGTAACAAAAATTCTTACATATACATGCCAGATTTTCCTTGCAGTATATTCTTAGAAAGTATAACATCATAAGGTGAACACATTTTCCACCTTAGAGATAAAATTGATAAAATTGAGTAAAGTGAATTTTATTCTCCTTGCATAGTTTACAAGAGTTTCTGCTCTTGTCCAGAACTTAGTTCTGTCTTAGATTTTGCCAATCTGATGATTAATTTCTATTTCCTTAATAACTAGTTCATCCTCCAAAAAGAGGCTGAATATCTTCTCACATGCTTATTGAATGTGTTCTTCTGTGACCTGCCTATTCATATTCTTTATCCATTTTTTTCTCTTGGGTTGTTTACCTTTTTCTTATTGAGTTACAGGCTGTTTACTTTTTATACTTAAAATTGTATTATTTATATTTATATATGTGCGTGTGTGTATAATTTTTTTTCTCTTCTTAGGAAGTCTCAGATTGAAAATGAGATCATGCACCATCACACTCATGAATGCGACTGTCAATCTCCTGTGTAGTGGTTGTGTTAGATACTCAACAGCTGTGAGCCATTCACTCTCAGAAACACACACTGACAGAATCCTATTATTTTTAAAATTTTGAAATAATCTTACACTTATAAAAAAATTGTAAGTATTGTAAAAAAAAATTTTCCCTGAACCACTTGGAAGTTACTGACCTCATGCCCATCATTCTTGAATATTTTAATGTGTATTTCCAACAAACAAGGACATTCTCCTACATAACTTCAATATAAACAAGATCAGGAAACTAACATTAATACTGTCTATAAAACATTTTAAAATATAAAATAATTGGCTGGGCGCGGTGGCTCACGCCTGTAATCTCAGCACTTTGGGAGGCCGAGGTGGGCGGATCACCTGAGGTCAGGAGTTCGAGACCAGCCTGGCCAACATGATGAAACCCCGTCTCTACTAAAAATATAAAAATTAGCTGGGCATGGTGGTGGGCTTCTGTAATCCCAGCTATTCAGGAGGCTGAGACAGGCGAATTGCTTAAACCCAGGCACCAGAGGTTGCAGTGAGCTAAGATCGTGCAATTGCATTCTAGCTTGGGTGACCAGAAACTCCAGCTAAAAAAAAAAAAAAAAAAAAATTTATATATATATATATACACACACAATAATTGTGATTATGCTTTTAAAGAAAATAATAAAGAACTGATGCTTAAGGTTTCTGTGTTAAATCATGGTATCCACTTGTCAACACATGGTAATAAGGCAGCTTTTTTTAATTCTCTCAACAAAAGAGGCATACATTAGGATTGACAGCACATGAATAACTGCTTTCATTTTTTTCCCCATTCTTGACGACACAAGGGGGAATGAGATTAAACTGCTCCTGGAAATTTAAACATTATATCAAACTTTCTGAGAATAATTGCTGGGAAAAGCCAAGAGTAAAATCTCCTCTGGCAAGTTCTTTACAAAGATCTCTTTCTGGAATAGTTTCAATACAAACCTATTCAGAGGCTAGGCCTAACCTTTAAAAATCTCTTTAAGACCTAAGATTCTTTCATCTCTTTTTATCCAGTACAACTTAAAAGTTATATATATTCAGTATTACGTAAGGTCACATTTATATAGCAAATATAAAAATAATAGGCCAGGCATGGTGGCTCATGCCTGCAATCCCAACACTTTGGGAGGCCAAGGAAAGAGGATTGCTTGAGGCCAGGAGTTCAAGACCAACTGGGGCAACATAGCAAAACTCCATCTATATTTTTTTAAATAAAAAATTAACAATCTAAAAAAAATTAAAAATTAATAAATAGCCACTTTTTTTCCTATTAGCTATGGATCAGGAACTGTTATTAATTCAATATGAGTTATTCCATCAACCCTGTGATGGATCAGAGTGCCTTCAACAGAAAAATGGGAGGAGAAAAACCAGAAACATTAACTATAGATAACATTTTGGGAAATTTTCCTGAAGACTGAAGAAATAACATGCAGGTAGTAGAGCTGAAGAAAGAAATTAAGATATATTTATTTAATTGGTTTTAAGCAAAAGGAGATACAATAACACAACTATATGTGAAGGGAAAGAGATGCAAAGAAAGAAACATTGTCAACCTGGTAGAAAGAAGGCATCTGCTAAAGCAATACCTTGTAGTGATGGGATCTAATACAACTGCAGAGTGCTTGGTCTTTGCTGGGAGAAAGCATAGTTCATCCTTACCAACAGGAAGGAAGAATGAATATAAGGGGAGAAACAGAGAGATGGAGTGGCAGCAAGTAAGTAAGGATGGACATAATCTGTGGTCTTTTCTATCTTCTTTTACGGAGAACTGTGTGTATATGTAAATATCACCAGGTATGTCTTGGTAGGAAAAGGTTTACAGACTCCTAATGAAAGGCTACTCCTCTCTACCTTGAATTTACCATCCTTTAATAGTTTTCTTTAGACTTTACTACAGTTGTAATGTTGCCAAGGATTTTATCAGTTTCTATGTCCACAGTCAGTCATTATTTTTCCTGGGTACCAGAATTATCATAAAGAAAAGTCCAGAAAGCTAAAGTAGAGACGGCATTCCTTAAAAAATATTTTCTGTCTTTAAGAAGTACATGGGAGGATAAGGATTTTAGAAGAAAAATATGTTCCTTGCCTTTTTATTTTTTATTTTTTGCATCTGTTTCCTCTCAACCAAATGACGCTACAGTTTATGGATCTTTATCTAGAAGTTCTGAATATACCAGTTGGCCAGTTCAATTCACTGATTAGACAAAAAAGATATAAATAAATTCTGAAACATAATTTCTTCTCTCATTTTCTGTCTACTAAAAAATGAGTCATTAGATTGCTTTGAAACATGAGTGTTTCACATACTATTCAAAAGACTTCTCAGTTATAAATAAATAAAGAAGCTAAATATAAACCACATCCATACCTCTCACAGCTGACTGGGAAGGCTGAGTCAAAACTTTTATGTCTAATGCACTGTTGATATTTTCTTCTAAAGTAGCACAATATCCATCCACAACACTGGTAATAGTATCCTTCAAAGTTCCAAGATTATAGAAAACCTGAAGAGCTGTTCCGACTTGAGTTGGATTCTTAAAAAAAGGTGGGGTGGGGTGGAAACAGATATAAATAGGAAAACAAACAAAATCAACATAAATATACAACTTTAAGCAGGACTTCAGCAGTCCTATCATATTTAAATACTACCATATTTTAAAATTATCAAAGACAAGAAAAAACACATTTTGAAGTGAAGATTATTTTTAAACTTTATTTCATAAAATACAAAGTTAAATACTATGTATATTATTTTCCCCCTTACCATTTTTGTCCTCCTTTAAAAAATAACAAGAAGTTTGAAAGTCTGTTGTATAATATTCGAGCTTATTTAAAATCTACCACCAATCCCTATAAAAAGAACCATATTAGAAATAACATTTGTTATTTCTACATTTGTTTGACAATAAATTAATTCTGTGGAGTTGACTGAGAGCTGAACCATGCAGACTTATTCATTATATTTCACTGACCCATTAATTCATTCTAACTACAAATATTTATACAGTGCCTACTGTATCTGTCATAGCTCTGAGTGCTGGAAAAACAGTAGTGAAACAAAACCAATTAAGTTCCTGTCTTCATGGAACTTACATTTATTGAGAAATGTACAAAACATAAATAAAACAGAATAACGGGTAGCAACAAGTGCTATAAAAACGTGAAGTAGGGAATAAGAATAGAGTATGATGGGAATTATTATACAGAGATTAGTCAGAGAATGCACCTCTGAGGTAATATTTAAACAAAGACTTGAATATACTGAGGGAGTCAAAGGAAGATATGGGAAAATACAGATCGGGGCAGTGGTATTAGCAAAAGTGCTGAGATAGCAATGTGCTTAGTATGCTAGGGAAAGAGCAAGAAGGCCATGATGGAGCAGAGTGAAGCAGAGAGGCAGAAGATGAGGGAGGTATTGAAATATCATCAATGAGTGGATTATGTCCAGAGTGATATAAATGGGTTGTTGGATTTGTGGCTAAGTTAACGAACAAATTACCAAGCTAGAAGTTGAGACACTGACATATATTTTCAGGCCCAAATAACTCAAAATCCTCTCACGCATTAGTAAGTGTCTGTTATCAGAGACACATGGTTAAAATGTTAAATTATTTCATTAACCTATTTTCTATACTAAGTTTATTTTAGAAGGTTACCTCTGAAATCTATTGGTGTTATTTTAATAATAGTACATGCTGCAGACATACACATAAACTCACACACAGAGGCAAAGTAGACTCAGCTTAAAGAAAATAACAGGAAACATGGCTGGTGAATAACAATACTCATTTGAGTTTTTTCTTTTTAATTAAACAATAAAAAGAACCAAATGGATATTATTTCAAATTAAAATGTTCTAATAAAAAAGCTTAATTTAGTATGGTCATAATAGAGCTTAATTTTATGTTGTAAATTCTCTATTAACGTATGCCAACAAGGAAAATAAGCTATTTTATAAAAAATTATTAACTGAAAACAAGGGGTATAGCATTTGCTTTTACTTTCTCCCAAGACTGTTTTATCTTTAAACTTTTTAGTAGACACCAAAAATCAAAATGAGGCAGCTGTAAAGAAATTTCCCATGTCATTATTTAAGTGTATGTATAATCCAAGAAAGCACTACTGGAGCAACATCAAAGAATACTTTCACCTCATAAAACTAGAATACAGATATACTTTAAAACTATATTTATTGCCTTTACTATTATCAGAGGATCTGAAAAGCATAGCTTCTCCACACACAGTACAGTTTCAGTGTTATCAGCTGAATGTACGCTGTAAGATTTATGCATACAACAACTAAAAAACACTTAAATTTTTCACTTAAAACACCTAGCTAAAATAAACCACTCTTCAAAATTCTCCGCTCCAAAAATTACTAACTTCCAACTTCTCAAAACATGTTTGAAAAGGTTACTTCTGAAATCTATTGGCATTATTTTAACGTAATGGTGTATTATATTACAAATATAGCTCATCATTAAAGAAGTATATATTACAGCATTATTTATAATACAATTTACAATATTTATAATTCTAGAAGTAATTTTAAACTTGTCAATTAACATGTTCACTTTTTCAATTAATGGCATTCATATTTATAGCTTAACACATAGATTATGCCAGTAAAAAAACTGCAAAATAATTACCTGAAATAAAATTCTTTAAGTAACATACATACAGAGGAGTATGCTAATTATGTAAGCACAGCTTTATTATCACAAAGTGAACACACCTAGTTAACTATCACCTAGATCATGAAGCTAAGTATTATCAGCACCTTTGAATCTTGTGTAGCTCCCCAAACTGCACCTTTCCAAATATTATCACTATCATTACTTCTAACACCAAAAATTTATTCTGTTTTTGAATTTCACATAAATGGAATTATACAGTATGTATTATCTTGTGGCTTGTCCCTTTTACTCAACATATTTTTTTGTGAAATTCGTCCATGTTGTTGGATGCAGCAGTAGTTGATTCATTTCTTACTGCTGTGCAGTATTCCACTGTAGTAATTTGCTTTAGTTTATCCATCCTACTGTTGATAAATAATAGGCTTACTTCTACCTTTAGGTATTTTAATTTATGCCGCCATGAACATTCTGTACACCTCTATTAGTGAACATATATACATATGCATTTCTGTAGGCAAAAGTAGAATTGCTAAATCATATTAGTACACTTAGAGTTTGTAGATACTGCCAATTTTACAAAGCCATTGCAGCAATTTACACTCCCACCAGCGATATATGAAAACTGTGGATGCCCCACAAATTTGCCAAAAATTCAAATGATCATTCCTTTAATTCTGGCTATTATTTTGAGTGAGTACTATGATTTTAATTTGTATTTCTATGATGACTAAAAAACTGAATACTTCTTACATGGTAATTACCCATTTGGATATCTTCTTTTGTGAAGAACTTATTCATATTTTGGCCCATTTTTTTTAACTAGTTGTTTTTTGTCATTTACATATAAAGTTGTTTATATATTTTGGATACAACCACTTTGATAATTATATGTACTGCAAATATGTTCTCCCACTCTTAATCAAGTATTTTAAGGAAAAGAAATTCCTAATTTGAATGTAGCCCATTTTATTAATCTTACTCTCTACGGTTTAGTACTTTTGGTATTGTTTGATAAGTGTTCCCCACCCCACATTCATAAAGATATCTTTCATTCATAAAGTTATCCTCCTGAAACTCTATTGGTTTATCTTTCATGCTCAGAAATACAATTCGCCTGGAATTAATTTCTATACAATGTGAAATAGGAGTCAAGATTAGTGTTTTTCTACATGAATACCCAATTGATCAAAAAAAGAGCAAATAAAAATCACCCGCACTCCCGAAAAGTCACCTTTGCAATAAACCAAGTTTCTAAATATGTGTGTGAGTTTCTGGACTTTCAAATCTCTACCATTTCTCTATCCTTACAATTCACCTATCTAAATTACTGTAGCTTTAAATACCAGATTTGGCAATCCTCTGCCTCTGTTCTTCAATTTGGTATAGGCTCTTCTTGATATATGACACTTCCATATAAATTTCAAAATTGGCTTGACAAATGTCCTTTTTTTAAAAAAGTTTTCAGGTATTGTTTGAGATTGCATTAACTCTATAGATAAAATTAGAAATAATGGATATCTTTGTAATATTGAGTTCTCAAATCCATGAATATGGTATCTCTTTTCATTTACTCAGGTCTTTAATTTCTCTTAATGTTTTATAGATAGTTTTCTGTGAAAAAGTCTTATATATCTTTAGTTTAAATTATTTCTATTATTTTTTGATATAAATTGTATGTTTTTAAATTTTTTGTAAACAATCAGTAAATTGTTTTGACTTTTCTAACTATATAACCATGGTATTTCTGAATAATTTTTATTTCTCCCTTCCCATTCTCCTCTATCTCATTGCTTTTCTTATTACTTTGGCTAGGATCTTCAGTACTGCACTGAGTAGAAGAAATAAGAGTGGTTTTTTTGCATCATCCCTAATATCAAATGGAAAGCCTTAAATATTTCACCATCGAGATTTTTAGAAATGCCCTTTATCAGATTAAAGATACTGGCTTGCTAAGAGTATTTTTAATCATGAATTGATTTTGAATGTTATTAAGTATGTATTGAGATAATAATTTTCCCCCTTTACTTGAGAAATTATGTTATATTTCTGGAATAAAGCCATCTTGGTCATAATACATTATCAGTTTTAGATCTCTGTGGCTACATTTACTAACACTTTGCTTATTATTTTTGTACAGATTTTAAAGGAAGACAACTAGTAATTTTACTTCCTTACAATATTCTCATTTTCATATTGACATTAACCTGGCCTCATAAAATGAGCAGGTACATATGTTTGGTCCCTCTTTCTCAATTCTTGGATACAGTTTACATAACACTGGTTTATTTATTCCTTAAATGTTTGGAAGAATTGCCCCAGTGAAGCTGATTGGCCTTGGAGTTTTCTCCAAGGAAAGGTTTTTTTAATAATAAATTCAATTTTGTTAATAGATATAGAACTAGATAGATTTTATACTTTTCCTAGTGTCATTTTTGATATGTTGTTTTCCAGAAATTTGTCAATTTCATCTAAATTTTCAAATCAATTGGTATAAACTCATACTTAATATTGTCTTAACTTTTTTTAGTTTTTGTTGGGTCTGTTATTAGATCACCTTTTTCATTCTTGATCGTGGTAATTTGTGCCTCTTTTTTCCCTTCTCCTCATCAGTCTTGTTGGTATTTATCAATTTAATTTGTTAATCTTGTTAAGTAACTAAATTTTGGCTTCTATTGGATTTTGTATTCCATTACTAGCTTTTTGTTATTCTTATTTCACAGACTTTGGAGCCAGACCTAGATCAGCATCCAAACTCTACCACATAGCAGTCAAAACCTAAAGGCAAATTATCTAACCTCTTTAAGGCTTAGTTTCCTCATGTGCATAACAGCAAAAATAAGAGCATCAACCTAACGGGTAAATAAAATAATCTTTACTCTCTAGATTCCTCCTTTCTGGGCAGGGCATCTCTGAAAGAAAGGCAGAAGCCCCAGTCAGGGGCTTATAGGTAAAACTCCCATCTCCCTGGGACAGAGCACCTGGGGGAAGGGGTGGCTGTGGGCGCAACTACAGCAGACTCAAATGTTCCTGCCTGCTGGCTCTGAAGCAAGCTCTGCTAAGGGACAGACGGCCTCCTCAAGTAGGTTCCTGACCACAGTGCCTCCTGCCTGGGAGACACCTCCCAGCAGGGGTCGACAGACATCTCATACAGGAGAACTCCAGTTGGCATCTGGCAGGTGCCCCTCTGGGACGAAGCTTTCAGAGGAAGGAACAGGCAGCAATCTTTGCTGTTCTGCAACCTCTGCTGGTGATACCCAGGCAAACAGGGTCTGGAGCGGACCTCCAGCAAACTCCAGCAGACCTGCAGCAGAGGGGTCTGACCGTCAGAAGGAAAACTAACAAACAGAAAGGAATAGCGTCAACATCAACAAAAAGGAAGTCCAAAGAGAAACCCCATCTGAAGGTCACCAACAGCAAAGACCAAAGGTAGATAAAACCACAAAGATGAGGAAAAACCAGCGCAAAAAGGTTGAAAATTACAAAAACCAGAATGCCTCTTCTCTTCCAGAAAATCACAACTCCTCGCCAGCAACGAAACAAAACTGGATGGAGAATGAGTTTGATGAAATGACAGAAGCAGGCTTCAGAAGGTGGGTAATAACAAACTCCTCCGAGCTAAAGGAGCATGTTCTAACCCAATGCAAGGAAGCTAAGAACCTTGAAAAAAGGTTAGAAAAATCGCTAACTAGAATAATCAATTTAGAGAAGAACATAAATGAACCTGATTGAGCTGAAAAACACAGCACGAGAACTTCATGAAGCATACACAAGTATCAACAGCCGAAACGATCAAGCGGAAGAAAAGATATAAAAGATTGAAGATCAGCTCAATGAAATAAAGCAAGAAGACAAGATTAGAGGAAAGAGTGAAAAGAAATGAACAAAGCCTCCAAGAAATAGGGCACTAGGAGAAAAGACCAAATCTACGTTTGATTGGTGTACCTAAAAGTGACAGGGAAAATGGAACCAAGTGGGAAAACACACTTCAGGATATTATCCAGGAGAACTTCCCCAACCTAGCAAGACAGGCCAATATTCAAATTCAGGAAATACAGAGAACACCACAAAGATACTCCTCAAGAGGAGCACCCAAGTCACATAGTTGTCAGATTCACCAAAGTTGAAATGAAGGAAAAAATATTAAGGGCAGCCAGAGAGAAAGGTCGGGTTACCCACAAAGGGAAGCCCATCAGACTAACGGCAGATCTCTCTGCAGAAACCCTAAAAGCCAGAAGAGAGTGGGGGCCAACAATAAACATTCTTAAAGAAAAGAATTTTCAACCCAGAATTTCATATCCAGCCAAACTAAGCTTCATAAGCGAAGGAGAAAGAAAATCCTTTACAGACAAGCAAATGCTGAGAGATTTTGTCACCACCAGGCCTGCCTTACAAGAGCTCTTGAAGGAAGCACTAAATATGGAAAGGAAAAACCAGTACCAGCTACTGCAAAAACATACCAAATTGTGAAGACCACGGACACTATGGAGAAACTGCATCAATTAACAGGTAAAATAACCAGCTAGTATCATGATGACAGGATCAAATTCACACAAAACAATATTAACTTTAAAAGTAAATGGGCTAAATGCCCCAATTAAAAGACACGGACTAGTAAATTGGATAAAGAGTCAAGACCCATTGGTGGGCTATACTCAGGAGACCCATCTCACGTGCAATGACACACACAGGCTCAAAATAAAGGGATGCAGGAATATTTACCAAGCAAATGGAAAGCAAAAAAAAAAAAAAAAAAGCGGGGGTTGCAATCCTAGTTTTTGATAAAACAGACTTTAAACCAACAAAGATAAAAAAAGACAAAGAAGCGCATTACATAATGGTAAAGGGATTAATGCAACAAGACGAGCTAACTATCCCAAGTATATATGCACCCAGTACAGGAGCACCCAGATTCATAAAGCAAGTTCTTAGAGACCTACAAAGAGACTTAGACTCCCACACAATAATAGTGGGAGACTTTAATGCCCCACTGTCAATATGAGATCAACGAGACAGAAAATTTATAAGGATATCAGGACTTGAACCCTGCTCTGGACCAAGCGGACCTAATAGTCATCTACAGAACTCTACACCCCAAACCAACAGAATATGCATTCTTCTTAGCACTACATCGCATTTATTCTAAAATTGACCACATAATTGGAAGTAAAACACTGCTCAGCAAATGCAAAAGAACGGAAATCCTAACAGTCTCTCAGACCACAGCGCAATCAAATTAGAACTCAGGATTGAGAAATTCACTCAAATTTCTCACACAGACACAATGTACCAGAAACTCTGGGACACAGCTAAAGCAGTGTTTAGAGGGAAATTTCTCATAGGAGAAAGAGAGAAAGATCTAAAATCGACACCCTAACATCACAATTAAAAGAACTAGAGAAGCAAGAGCAAACAAATTCAACAGCTAGCAGAAGACAAGAAATAACTAACATCAGAGCAGAACTGAAGGAGATACAGACACGAAAAACCCTTAAAAAAAAATCAATGAATACAGGAGCTGGTTTTGTTGAAAAGATTAACAAAATAGACCACTAGCCAGACTAATAAAGAAGAAAAGAAAGAAGAATCAATTAGACACAATAAAAAATGATAAAGGGGAGATCACCACTGATCCCACAGAAATATAAACTACCATCAGAGAATACTATAAACACCTCTACACAAATAAACTAGAAAACCTAGAAGAAATGGATAAATTCCTGGACACATACACCCTCCCAAGACTAAACCAGGAAAAAGTCAAATCCCTGAATAGACCAATAACAAGTTCTGAAATTGAGGCAGTAATTAATAGCCTACCAACCAAAGCCCAGGACCAGACAAATTCACAGCCGAATTCTACGAGAGGTTCAAAGAGGAGCTGGTACCATTCCTTCCGAAACTATTCCAAACAATAGGAAAAGAGGGATTCCTCCCTAACTCATTTTATGAGGCCAGCATCATCCTGATACCAAAACCTGGCAGAGACACAACAAAAAAAAAAAATTTCAGGCCAATATCCCTGATGAACATCGATGTGAAAATCCTCAATAAAATACTGGCAAACCAAAACCAGTAGCACATGAAAAAGCTTATCCACCCTGATCAAGTTGGCTTCCACATACGTAAATCAATAAATGTAATCCATCACATAAATAGAACCCATAAATTCCCACATAAATTGTGGGAATTAATCTTGCAGAAGAGGTTCTCTGTGTGAACATATTAATTAAATTCAAAAGGTTTATAAAAGGTTTTTGCTTCTTTAAAATTTCTGAGTCATTTTGACAAAATAAAATCGTTTATGTTAATCTGGAATTCTATTTCATAAAATCAAGTGCTTTAAAAATATTAAAAAGGCTTCCCAAAATCAAACTTCAGTTTCAGAATTGTCTTTCCTGACACCTGGCTTTTCAGATAGTGCAGAGGGTCCCTGAAATGTCTAGAAAAGAGAGGTAAACAGAATTATTTGACATGTTTAGCTACATGGGATTGCCAAAATGATGTTCAGTCTTCTTTAGGTTATATTTTTGTAAATATTGCTAACATATGTTCCAAATTGTATGGAATTTCTAAAATTGTAATGTCTAAGTATATGCTACTAATCATAATTAAGGTTAAGTTATTGGAAACCATAGAGATAACCAAACTTCGTCAATTGTGTTTGAACTGTACCCTGGACATTTTGCAATTCACAGACAATTGTTGTCTTGTTTTTATCCTTTTCAAAAGATGGTTTATAATCTACAGAACTTTGGCAGGTGCTCTCAAATACAGGCTTCTCATAACTTTGGAGATTGCGACATTGGAATAAAGGAAAATGTACAAGACTCACGAAGAGCTAAAATGTTCAAAAATATCAAGCAAAACAATAATTAACCAATTATCGACTGAACTCAGAAAGCTGAAGCAAACTTTTTGACTTTTGGTTGGAATATTGCTGACCTTTGTTTTGTTTTTCAGAGTCAAGGAAACTTATTTTATACATTTATGGCCTTTATTAATTGGGTAAGGTATACCCCCCGTGATCAAGACTGGAGCATGTTTGTTTCTGTCTAGTTCCTCTAAAATTTGGAAACTATCTGTGAGTATTCTTATGGCAATATAGTTGTTTGCATCAGTGCAACAAGAATCCATTTTTCTTTTGCAACATGACACAACTGAAAAAACTGGTAATTTACCAAGGCTTTGACTGGAAGGGCATGCTTCTCTTTAAGGGGTCAGTCGTGACTTGCAGAGTCCATAAAAGTCCAGTGGGGAAACTGGCCTCAAACCCTCAGCTACTCAGTCCCTGTACAGGGTTCCTGACCTGTGGTCAGTAAAGAATGTCCCTTTCTAACAGGTCCAGGAGCTCCAAGTTTATCTTGGGACCTTAAGAGGAGAGGCTCACCCAAATCACAGGTATTTGAGGATACAAACCCATGGTTGGGCTCGGCTTTAAAAGGTCTTATCTGAGATTCCTTGTGGAACAGAATTCCATCAAAGCCACTCCAAAAGGCCTATGTAGAAATAATTATTCTTGCTGCACTTTATGCAAATAACCAGGCCAAGTATAAAACTGAAGTCTGTTTTTCTTTTTTTCTTTCTTTTTTTGAGATGGAGTTTCACTCTTGTTACCTAGGCTGGAGTGCAATGGCACGATCTCAACTCACTGCAATCTCTGCCTCCTGGGTTCAAGCGATTCTCCTCTGCCTCAGCCTTCCCAGTAGCTGGGAATATAGGTGCCCACCACCACGCCCAGCTAATTTTTTGCATTTTTAGTAAAGACGGGGTTTCACCATGTTGGCCAGGCTTGTCTTGAACTCCTGACCTCAAGTGATCCACCCGCCTCAGCCTCCCAAAGTGCTGAGATTACAGGCATGAGCCACCGCACCCAGCCTAAAGTCTATTTTTCAAAGAACTCAGTCCTGTGGTGATTTTTTAACAAACATGAGGACTGGAGACAGAGAAGTTATGTTTCAAAACTCATCATATATTTGTCATTAAATTCTAAATTCACTAGTTGTTTTTAAGTTTTCGCCTACATTTTAGACTAACCTTACTTATTCCTGTAAATCAAACAGCAGTCTCCAGCTGCAACTCAGAAAGAACAAGAGGGATGGGTAATGTAAAAATCTGGATCAATTTTCTATTTCTGAGCTAAAATCCTGCAAATCCTGCCAGGTGATGGGAATAAATAGGATGCGCATCACTCAGAGGTTTCCTTTTGGGAAAGTAAGACCAAGGGAGCTAACCAAAGCCAAGCACCACGCACCCAAATCCTGGCAAGCATGACTATAGCTACCAGTTATCTGGGTGTGTCACAAGACATCATTTTCTCTCCCTTTTTGGAGGAGGACTCAATTACACAGTTTCACCTTAGCATTCAGCTTAATGATAAGGAGTCCATGCAACCCCTCCGAGACACATTTTTGTCCCAGGCTCAATTCCAAGCTTTGGGTCAAAGCCCTAGGAAAGAAAACTGGACCTGAGGGATCCAGAGGCAGATGACAACAGAGGTTAAAAGGCACAGCGCAGGTGAGCGTGGCTCATTCCTGACAAGCCAACCCCAACCTTCCTGTTTCATGGATAAAGGCCAGGTTAATATCCATGGCATAAATGAGGTCTAGGGAACTCCAAGATTACTGACAGTAGGTGCTAGAGAGACATAGGTAAGAGTGGATAATTCCTATTCTCTAGGCCCCCCTACCTCAAGGGTGCAAGCTGCTTTTGCGGTGCCTGCCAAGGTTGCTGGAACTTGGGGGTGCAAGGACAGAAGAGGGAAAGAGGACACTCTTCCCTCTCTCCCTCACGTACCCCAGGTATCTGGTAGGAAGAGAAGGGAACCAGGGCTGCCTGTTCCTCTCTTTCTAAATGGGCAGCCATTCATCTTCAGTCTGTACCCCTTTCTAATGCATTCTGAACCCCCGGGAAGCCATTAAAAGATGCCTTCTTTTTTCTTTCTTCTCATCTGTCCTCTCTTCACTGATAGGTAACTGTGCCTCTGTACTAGGGGACACTCCCTTCAGATGCATCCTCCAAACTGCAAAGAATTTCTCAAACTCACTGGCTTAGGGTTAAGCTCAGGGGAAGAGATCCCAGAAGCCCAACATACCACCAAAAGGATAAAGTTTTTTTTGCCAGTCAGGCTTTTGGCCTCCCTCTCCCTGTGCAAACTGGTAGAAGGCCTCGGAATTTCTGAGCGGTCCTTACCCCTCCCCTTGTTTCATTTTGATACATGTCTTCTAATAAGATGGTTTGTCTGTTCTTGCCTTCAAGCCATCAGACTCCAAATGGTCACACAACCAGAGCCTCTGACGATGGCTCCTTCTGCTGGGAACCCTTAGATTGGCCTCTAGGAAGCTCTGACTGCCATTTCCCCCAAAATAGCGCCCCCTGTCAGCAAGAGGCAGTTAAGATCAGTCTTCATCTTTACCCTTCCATCTAATGGCAGTTAGATGTACTTCTTTAGAGGGGGGAATGAAACAGCCAGGTGGGAGGGGGTCCCTGGAGAAACTCCAACCTGCCTGCCCACTGAGGTGGAGCCTCGGGAAGTTCACCGCCTTTGCAGCAGGGAGGAGCCTGGCCCTTCCTCTTCCTGTGTGGAACCTGGGATTTGAACTGCCGGGCAGGAAGCACTGTACCAGGGACTCTGGCTTTGCGAGAGGCCCTGTTTTCCCCCTTTTCCCCCAGTAAAACTGTGCTTCACTCACCCTTCAAACTGTCTGAAAGCCTAAATTTTTGTGGCCATGGGACGAACAAGGACCCCATCGTTAGCTGAACTAAGGAAAAGTCCTGCAACAATGTCATGACAAGGGGTTGGGAGGGCTGGTCTCATGGGATCAGTACCCTAAGAAGAAGAGATACCAGAAAGCTTGCTCACTCTGTCTGCCATGGCAGGACACAGCAAGAAGGCGGCTGTCTGTAAGCAAGAAGCAGAGCCCTCACCAGAAACTGAATCCTGCTGGATCTTTGTTTTAGACTTTCCAATCTCTAGAACTGTGAGGAAATAAACTGCTGTTTAAACCATCCAGTCTATGGTATTCTGTTATGGTAGTCAGAGCTAATATACGTCTTTATATGCTTAACAGATGAATTAAATTGTAGAAGACATAGTGAGTTGAACAATGTCCTTCCAAAAATCATGTCCAACCAAACCTCAGAATGTGACCTTATTTGAAGACAGCATCTTTGCACATGTAATTAGTTGAGATAAAGTCATACTGAATTATAGTGGGCCTTAAAGCCAATGACTGATGTCCTTTTAAAAGAAAAGCACAGAGACACACAGCGAAAAAGGCCATGTGACAACAGAGGCAGAGACTGGAATGATACAATTACAAAGCAAGGAATACCCAGGATTGAGATTGATGGGAACCACCAGAACCTCACAAGAGGCTAAGAATTCTTCAAGAGTTCAAGGTGTTCTGCCAACACCTTGATTTGACTCCCAGCTTCCAGAACTGTGAGAAAATACGTTTCTATTGTTTTAAGCCACCCCAGTTGTGGCAATTTTTTCTTCTTAAATTCTTTTTTACCCTTGTGTAAATTTTTAATGACAGCCCCAGGAAACCAATACATAAGGGTAACAGAAAACAATACATATGTTTGCAAACCAAGTGTCCATTGATGGATGAATGGATAAACAAAATATAGCATATATACACAATTAAATATTATTCAGCCTTTAAAAGGCAGGGAATTCTGATGTACATTACAACACGGATAAACCTTGAGGACATTTTGCTAAGTGAAATAAGCCAGTCAAAAAAAGACAAATAATGTATGATTCCACTTAACATGAGGTACCTGTAGTGGTCAGATTCATAAAGACACAAAGTAAAATGGAGGTTTCCAGAGGTTAGGAGAAGAGGGCAATGGGGAGTTATTTAATGAGTATAGAGTTATCAACAACAGTGCAGAAAGATTCCAATTTCTCAACATCCTTGCCAACGCTTGTTATTTTCTTTTTTTTTTTTTTTTTTTGATGGACACCTTAATGGGTGGAGGTAATATCCCATTGTGGTTTTAATTTGCATTTCCCTTACGATTAATGACAGTAAGCATCTTTTCACATGATTGCTGGCCATCTGTATATCTTCTTTGGAGAAATATCTATTTAAGTCTTTTGCCCAGCTTTAAACCAGGTTTTGTGTGTGTGTGTGTGTGTGTGTGTGTGTGTGGTTGAGTTCTGTTAGGGTTGAGTCAGGATGGTGGGAAAAACTGTAAAATAAACCTTCTTGGAAGTCCAGAAGGTTTTTACAAAAGCCTCAGGATAGAGTTACAGTTGAAGGTAGTCTAATCCTCTTTGAGCTATAGCAAGGGTAATTAACATAGGAATATAGAGGAGTCTATCTAAATAGCTTCTTTAAAGACTAAACTTAGACCATCCGCAGGTATATGATTGCTCTCTACTGGGCGGGGGTGGGGGTGGTTGTCAAGGAGTCGGGGCCGGGGTTGCAACTGTTTATGGCACTCTCCTGAGAGTCTGTAAGCGGCCTGGACCCTCAGCTGGACTGACAAGCATAACATCTGTGTCAGTGGACGTTATTTATCTGTCGTTGGGTCAGGGTCTGCCAGACAGACCCCCGCAGCTGGTGCCCCGTGTGAGGAACGCTGCGGAGGAAGCACGACGGACCGCCGAAAAGAAGTGAAAAGCACCGCGCAGTCAGTGAGTAATCAGTAAGTCATTGGTGCCCACTCGGGATCTCCAAGTTTGGGGGGGATTGTTCAGGCTGAGGGTTCATGATGGGACAACAGTTATCAGCTCAACAGAAACAGTATATAAAAGTATTTAAACAGCTGCTTGAAGCTAGTGGAACCTCGGTTTCACAGGCACAATTAAGGGACCTGATGCAAACTGTTGTAACCCAAAGCCCAAGGTTCCTGGAAAAAGGCATGCTAGACATAAAGCTCTGGGAACAAGTAGGGAGAAATCTGAAACAACATTATGCACAAGGGCAACAGGTCCCAGCATCATCTTTAATGCTGTGGGCTTTAATTAAGGCAGCCCTGGCTTCGTTATACAACAGAGAGCCTAAAAAGGGGAAGGAGGAGGAAAGTCACCTGCCTTACCACCTCCTTTTCCCTCAGCCCCACTATCACCGGGCCAAAATAACAAAGAGGAAATGGAGGTTTTGCCTGAACCCCCTCCTCCAATAAATAGGTAAAAAGACAAGAGATAACGCTGCAGCTACAAGACCCTGTCTTAAGCAAGTGGCATTAGAAGGGGAGTTCTTAGCTTGCCCAGTAATGCAAGATTGACAAGGCAATCGAGTATTTCTTTTAACACTTATAAAAAGATAAAGCATTAGAGGCCAGAGCCCCATGGTCAAGCAGATGGTAAATTAAAAGAAAGGCTCTGCAGCGGGTAAGCTCACAAACCCAGAGCCAGCAAATGCTCCTGGGAACTCAGCCTGGACAGCAGAGGCAGCAACAGGAAGCCAGGCCAGGCACGCCAGAGCTGGCCTGCTGGGGAGGGGCAGGAGGTGCAAACGGGAAGGTCCACCCAGCCAGCAGCAGAAAAGCAGCAGCGCCTAAGCAAGTGCAAAGTGGCTGCCACCCTGGGGCCCACCTGCTCAGCTCTCCAGCTCCGCAGGAAGCCCAGGGCAAAATTTCGTGTGTTCCTTGTATACAAGCAACATCTCAGATTATAATTTGCTGCTAAAATTTAAGTAAAATTTAAGAATTTGATAGACCTATTTCTGATGATGGCCACTGTTCTCTCTCTTACCCCTAATGTGACTCTCTCCAAATCCAGTTTAAGTAAACAGTAACCTCTGAAGGGAAATTAACAAAGAGCCCATGAGTTAGTTAAGGAGCAGTTAAAAACCGGATGATAAACATGGAAAAGCAGCAGTCTGGTGGAGACCACATAACTCAATCACTCGATCTGGGTTTACTAGCACTCAGAGAGCTGAGATCGGGGCTCTGATACTGGCCTTGGAAACTTTTTCCACTCAGCCCATAAATATCGTGAGTGACTCAGCTTACTCTGTTTATTTATTGCAGAACCTTGAAACAGCCTTAATTAGGTACATTCTTGAGCCCACCCTGTGTGCTCTTTTTCTTCGACTTCAGCAATTGCTAGATCAACATACACAACCTATTTTTATCACACACATTCCAGCCCATGGCTCTCTGCCTGGCCCATTGGCTTATGGTAATAATCAAGCAGACCTTCAGGTTATGACATCACTGCTTGACCAAGCCACCCAATCACATCAATTTTTCCACCAAAATTGGAGAAACTTATCTAAACAATTTCAACTTACCCAGAAACTGGCTAAACAAATTATCCTACAATGCCCAGATTGCCAGCTCACAGGCAATCTCCACACGTGTTAACCCTAGAGAATTAGAACCTAATCAGTTATGGCAAACAGACGTTCCACACAACCCTGAATTTGGAAAACTTAGATATGTACGTATATCCATTGATACCAATTCTCACTTAATTAGTGCCCATGCTTTGCCTAGAGAATCAACCCGGTATGTCATTAAACATCTTTTAACTTTTGCGTTTATGGGGTGGCCCAAAAAATTAAAACTGATAATGGTCCAGCTTATGCCAGCTCACAATTTCAACAATTTGTCACTCATGGCACATCGAACATTCCACAGGCATCCCATATAACTCCCAAGAACATGCCATAGTAAAATGTGCCCACTCCACCCTTAAAAATATGCTCAGAAAACAGAAAAGGGAGAGTATGGGTAAAGACCCTGCAACACTATTGGCACAAGCCTTATTTACCCTTAAGTTTTTAAATTTAGATGACAAATTTCAATCAGCTGTAGAAAAGCACTTTTCTAAAACCTCTCAAGGTATAAAACCTGCAGTTTCATGGAAAGATGTGAACAGTAATGTACGGTGTGGTCCAAGTGAATTACTAATGCGGGGAAGAGGACATGCTTGTGTTCACACCCCCTTAGGTCCTCTTTGTGTTCCAGCATGGCGCATCAAACCACACCATGGCGTGCCTAGGACCCAACCTGGTACCAGAGATGAAGGAACTGACCCTACAGGACCCGCAGCCCTGAACAATGCGGCTTCCACAGACGACACAAGCCTCAAATGTCACCTGATGCTGAAGAGGATAACTCAGAAGGCTGAAACGAATTCTACTCCAGACACAGACACCATTTACTCCAAATAATTTGTTCCTAGCTATGCTTTCTGTTGTACATTGCAACTCACATAGGGTATTGATCCTTTATATGCTCTCACTTTGTCTGCAACCTGTACCTGCTACACTCTATTGGGCTCATATCTTAGATCCGCCTTTCTTTCGCCCTGTCACCTGGGCAGACACCCGCTTCCCAGCCTATAATAACGTGACTGCTTGGCTAGGAGGGATAGATTTACCCCCAGTGGGGTCCCTCAATAATGGCACACATTGGACTAAGGTGCCAGATAGCCTATAATAACGTGACTGCTTGGCTAGGAGGGATAGATTTACCCCCAGTGGGGTCCCTCAATAATGGCACATATTGGACTAAGGTGCCAGATAACACTACATATAACTCCACTATTCTCCCACTGTATGTAAATTATAAAGGTTTTAACCCTTACTGTGTATCTCTGCCCAAACACAATTATGGCTAAATCATGGCAAAGAAAATGCCTTAACAGCTTTAGCTGCAGGTGGCCTCAAACCAGGTAATACAATCAATGCCGCTTTCCCAAACATTCCTTCCTGTGCTAAAGGACAAAGCTGGGAAAGTAACGGATTTCACTTTAGCTGGGAGGTCTGTCACAGGGGACAAGCCCGTGGCCTCCAGTGAGGCAACTATAACATCTTAGACTGGAGCCCCCACGGCCATTTGCAGGGCAGCCTTACTAATGTCCTCACCTGTCATGACTCAATCAGCATTTCATTGCCACGTCCCATTCCCCTATGATTTGGGCCGATGGGGGGATGGGATATCTCAGACCCCAAGTAAAGTCCATGCCACCCCCAAGACACTTTATGACACCTGGGACATCTTGGCACCTCCCTTAACACCTGGCATGCGACATATCATAATTCCAGTAATGACTATACTATAACCTTTATTCACAATCACACTCATCAGTGCCTAATTTGCACTATCCATCCATATGTTTTCCTTAAGGGAACCAATATTTCTATTTCACCCCAATACTCCACATTTGTGACCCGGGTGCAAGAACAGGCTTGGTTCAACTCATGTATCACTAATTACAATATATTACAATATATCTGTTCGAAATATTACTAGTGCCATGGTATTAAGGAGACAATCTGAGGCATTCCTACCAGTCAATTTGACACGTGATTGGCAAGATTCCTCTGCCCTTGCCACCTTAGAATGTGCCTGTCAGACACCAAAGATTCAGAGTTACGCTTATGGCCTTTATAGTCTCAGCCATAATCATCCCGGCAACTGCTTGCCTTGCTGTGGCATCTATTACTGAATCAGTACAAACAGCTGCTTTTGTAGGTAATCTGGCCAAAAATGTGTCTAATGAACCTCTCCTACGGCAAGGTATAGATAAAAAAATTCTTGCACGTCTGCAAGCCCTCGAGGCTGCTTTGGAATATGTGGGGGAGCAACAAGATGCACTAACATTCTGATAGCAATTAAACTGAAACTAGTAGCATAAACATAATCTGTGTCACTTCTCTACCATGGAATCAATCAATCCACAGTTGGGATGAGGTGAAACAACACCTCTGGGGAACCTTTCATGACAATTTAACAGCAGATGTAAAGCAACTTAAAACTAAAATTTTAGAATCTGTTCACACTATAGATCTACATAGCCAACAAACAGCCATATGGAAGGGTATGCAAGATCATCTCCTGGTTAGACCCCCGCTCCTGGGGGTCACTCTTTGACTGGAAAAGAATGTTACTAATTATACTCATGATTGTCTTATCTAGGATGCAAAGCCAGAATAAGAGCAACGATCGCCACACCTGACAAATCTGTTCCTGCATATATCTGCGCTCTCCAATCAATAAGGCTTGATACAGAAAAGGGGGAGATGTAGGGTTTCAGTCAGGATGATGGGAAAAATTGTCAAATAAACCTTCTTGGAAGGCCAGAAGGTTTTTGCAAAAGCCTCAGGATAAAGTTATGGCTGAAGGCACCCTAATCCTCTTTGAGCTATAGCAAGGTAATTAACATAGGAATGTAAAGGGGTCTATCTAAAAAGCTTGTTTACTCATGTGGTCCTAAGACTAACCTTTGACCATCCACGGATGCATGATTGCTCTCTACTTGGTGGGAGGAGGGGGGAGGGTCGGCAACGGTGATTACCTTCCCGTGATGTTTACTTGAAACTTTTGTCATTTAACGTGTGCTGAATAAATGCCCGGAAGGCCAGCGAGTACAGCCCCAGTTGCAACTGTTTATGGCACTCTCCTGGGAGTCTGTAAGCTGCCTGGACCCTCAGCAGACTGAAAAGCATAATATCTGTGTCAGTGTACATTATTTATCTGTCGTTGGGTCAGGGTCTGCGGGAGGGACCCCTGCAGAGTTCTAAGCATCCTTTGTGTATTTTAGATATTAACCTCTTATCAGATAAATGGTTTGCAAATATTTCAGCCTGTTCTATTGGTTGCCTTTTCACTCTATTGAATATTTCCTTTGCTGTGCAAACGTTTACAAGTTTGATGTAGTCCCATTTGTCTATTTTTGCTTTTGTTACCTGTGCTTTTGGTGTCATATCTAAGAAATCACTGCCAAATCCAATGTCATGACACTTCCCCCTATGTTTTCTTCTAAAAGTTGTATAGTTTCAAGTCTTACCTTTAGGTCTTTAATCCATTTTGAGTTAATATTTGTATATGGTGCAAGGTAAGGGAATAATTTCATTCCTTTGCATGTGGGAGGAATCTGCATTTTTTCAAGGCAGCATCCCAAGTGACATATACACACCAAAGTTTGAGAACCACTATTTACATCATCCCTGAAAGTCAAATTAATAAACCTTATTGGTCAGGTGCGTGTGGCTCAAGCCTGTAATCGTAGCACTTTGGGAGGCCAAGGAGGGCAGATCACAAGGTCAGGAGTTCGAGACCACCCTGGCCAACATGGTGAAACCCCGTCTCTACCAAAAAATACAAAAATTAGCTGGGCATGGTGGCGGCCACCTGTAGTCCCAGCTACTTGGGAGGCTGAGGCAGGAGAAATGCTTGAACCTGGGAGGTGGAGGTTGCAGTGAGCTGAGATTGCGCCACTGCACTCCAGCCTGGGCAGCACAGCGAGACTCAGTCCCCGCCCCTAAAAAACCATTATTTTCCTCAGCAATACCACGTTGATCACTTTCCTCCAGAGGTTTACCTGGTTCTCTAATGCCCAGGTGTTCCTTGCACAGAGTATAAAAGGGTATGATCCTTATTCCAAGGACAGAAAACCCAATTTACTAATGATGAAAATTATGGTCTTATAACAATAGTTTCTCTGCTGCAATCATCTAGTGAGCTCCTATTATGAACCAGGCATTATGTTAGGTGTTTTACATATATGATGTCTACTTTTCCCCAAAAAAATGTTCAACATAGTTGCTATCATTTCCTAAAGACAGGGAAACTGAAGTATAGAGAAGTTAAGAGACAAGGAATAGACGGCAGAGTAGGGCTTCAAGTCTGATTTTAAAGTTGATGTTTTTTCCAAATAACAATGCTTATTTGCAAGTAACCATTAATACCAATTAAAGAAAGGCCTATTTTTTAGAAAAATTGGTAAAATAAAGCTTAAAAGGAAGTAGAATGACCAATGAGTTTTCTGTTTCACTAAGAATATTAAAAAACAACTTACTATCTACTATCACTAATTCATGAGGGAAAGAATATTGAAATACCAAAAAAAAAAAAAAAGGATAAAAATCAGAATTAGAGCTGTTTTTCAGTAGCATTAACACTGCTTTATGAAAAAGTCACTACCATGTCCTTTTTTTAATTGTAGAGGGGACTGATGAAACCTTGGCATGATTGCCACCAATCTGCAGGTCACTGTTTGGAAACCATTACTTATGTTATTTTTCTGTACAAATACACACGTTAGCTCAAACCTTCTAAAAGGCGCCTGCATACCACATGTATTCCTCAACTTTAAAGTCTCCATAAAAACTGTCCATGGAAAAAATTCTTATTTCTTAGTATTCCAGGTCACTGTGTTCTCTGGGGAGCTTGATGGTTTTAAGCAAGCAGAGAACAGTTAATCAACTTCTTGCCTCGCATACCAGACTCCCCATACTCTGCTACAAATTACAATTTTATTACAGTTTAGGTCAATAAAATCATAAATTGTCCCTAATGAAGTCCTCTTTCTCACTGCATAAGAAATATTGACAAATACAAAGTGAGTACTTCAATTCACTGCTCATCTTGGAACTGCCTGCTTTGTCTACCTATTTTTTCAATGTTCCAGGATCAGCTCTAGGAATTCTACTGTTTCCTTACATCCCCTACCAAACTCCCTCTTTACAAAACCACTCCCATTCTTGGTACTCTGTGCCCCTAGGTGGTCTGCATTCACTGCAATACCCCATCACGATCTGTAGAAAACAGTATACTCCAAGAAGACACTTTCTCCCCGTGATCAATAACACCTTATGAGTAAATATTGCTTCCAGCTATTAAAAAGGCCTTTAGACCTACTGATTTTATTTTGTCATCACAAGATAGGCATGATAAGTAGCATAATGCTAACTTTATAGTTAAGGAAACTAAGCTACCAAGGGGGTGGGCCCACAGCTGCTTGGTGGCAGGCCAGGCTCAGGTCTTGGGTCTTTCACTCCCATTCTGTACTCCCTCCAACAGGTCATCCTGTCAACCCATGACTTTACACGATCTCCAGATGTACCCATTTTGCAGCTGAGATATGTTCTCTGGCAATTGTAAAAGATCTCAAACAGACCAAAACCATTTTTAAAATACTACGCTAGAAAAAGATAAATTATACTGCAAAAGTTGCGCTATCTTCTAGCCAATGTCTTCTCTTTGGATAATCAATATTCTAAGAATAACTTTTCTATGAATTGTCACTGTAAGTTTCAACAAATCAATCTTCTATGAAATTTCCTAACCTCATAGATTATAATATAAAATTTGATAAAAGACCATGTAACAGGGTAGAAAAGATATTTATTATTATTTTTTTTTTTGAGATGGAGTCTTGCTCTGTTGCCCAGGCTGGAGTGCAGTGGCACAATCTCAGCTCACTGCAAGCTCCACCTCCCAGGTTCACGCCATTCTCCTGCCTCAGCCTCCCACGTAGCTGGGACTACAGGCACCCGCCACCACGCCCAGCTAATTTTTTTTGTATTTTTAGTAGAGACAGGGTTTCACTGTGTTAGCCAGCATGGTGTCGATCTCCTGACCTTGTGATCCGCCTGCCTCGGCCTCCCAAAATGCTGTGATTACAGGCGTGAGCCACCATGCCTGGCCAGAAAAGATATTTTTTAAGTGAAAAAGATACTTAAAAAAAAAAAAAAGACTTCCTCATCCTCAAAAGCATTTCAGAATATGGCACAATCGTTTTCTTTACAAAACCAAAATATTTCCCCTGCTTTAGAAATAATTATGATGTGATTTTTTTCTTTCTTTCTCAACCTCTCTGTAGCATTACATGGGAGGAAAATAAAATTCCACAAAAATAGAAAAGAAGCATAATTGTTTAAGATACCCAAGCTTGCCAAAACAGGAACACTGTAACCAAAGCAACTGCTGGCATAGCTAATGGAACAGAGATGTAGCAAGACTGCTATAAAGATTGTTTCATGAAATAGCAAGCAATATTTTAGTTTACAAAGCCATAGGCTAATATGAGATAACCTTTGTGAGCATAAATACAGCATTAAATCAAGTGTGACAGGATTTTTAAAACTTTATATAATTGAAATTAGAAATAAAAAGTGACAGAATTTGATGAGAAATAAAATGCAAAAAATGACATAAATATGCAAGTCCAGGGGCCCACAGTGGATAATACCATTAACATTGAAACTCTGAAAGGAAATCCTTGTATCATGAGGACTAACAATCACATTTTACTTTTTCCTCTAATAAAATATTCTTTAGAAGTTAAATTCTTTTTTAAGTGTTTCGTCTATAAAAGAAGGGCAACAAATTGAGGGAAGGAAAAGGACAAATACAGAATACAAATTTAGCTCATGTTGCTCTGCTGTTATAGTCATGAAATTCTGCAAAGTGACTCAGTTCACAAAACTCTGACTTATGATAAAGACTTAGTTGAGTCCAACTGATTTTAACTGGAAAACCACACAGAGATTTAAAAATTTTACTTCCAAAATAATTTATTAGCATGGATGTTTCAAAACTAAAATATTTCTTCAAAGTTTAATAAGTGCACCATTTCACACTCAAAATGAAAAATAAGAAACCCCAGAATCACATTAAAAAGACGGGGAAAGGGTGGGGTGGAAAGAAAAGTGGGGAGAAAGAGAGGGAGAATGAAGATAGGGAGGGAGAAGTAAAGGGTGGTGGGAAGTAGAAAGAAAGAAAGAAATGATCAACACATTCCCAACTCACTGTGTTTTCCCAAAGACAGAGGTTATAGTCAGAAAGATGCAAAGTCAACTCAAGCAAAAATTCAAAGTAGCTATCTTTCACTGTATAGACAATCCTAACTACTAAAAAGCGATACAGCTTTTTTAAATAGTGTGTAAAGGGTACAAATCAAATCGTCTTTACCATGAAGCAGATCTTTTTTTTTTTTTTTTTTTTTTTTTTTTTGAGAAGGAATTTTACTCTTGTTGCCCAGGCTGGAGTACAGTGGCAAGACCTCGGCTTACTGCAACCTCCGCCTCCTAGGTTCAAGCAATTCTCCTGCCTCAGCCTCCCAAGTAGCTGGGATTACAGGCATGTGCCACCACGCCTGGCTAATCTTTGTATTTTTAGTAGAGATAGGGTTTTTCTATGTTGATCAGGCTGGTCTTGAACTCCCAACCTCAGGTGATCCACCCACCTTGGCCTCCCAAAGTGCTAGGATTACAGGCGTGAGCCACTGCGCCCAGACAAAGCAGATAATTCTTTAAACCACTCCCCCTGGGTAGAATATGTATTTAATAAAATTAGGCCGATTTTCAGGTAAACTTAAGACAATAAAAAGAACAGTACCTTAATCATGTACAATCATTGAGAAATTATAAAATCCTAATATTTATGAAGAACACTTAATAAATCCATAACACCATACATGTGACAACTATATAACAGGACAAAATATTTAAGGCAGCTTATAATATCTGTGTGCATATGCTCCATTATGTTACACACACGTAACACTTTTTCTGGAGATAACACATGTCTAGAAGACTGAAAACTTAATGGAGCTCCATGGGAGATTACAAGAATTAAAGGAAAAGAGAATCACATTAAATACCATAATTTAAAAGCAAGAATTATATTAGCTACCTTAGTTGTGATTCAGAGCTTAGCAGTAGCTTTGCTGATTCAGTAACATGCAACCCATTAATGCTTGATGTGTACTTCTCAGCTAACCTAATATAATTATTTCAGTACCTGTTAACAATCAACAGTCAACAGTACATAATACAAATAAAATTAAGATACTAAAAAGGAAATTTAATAGTACAATATGATCTCATACACCAGAAATCAACTTTATTCTAGCCTTTATTTTGAAGAGAGGCAGAAAAAGAAAAAGATTATATAGAAAGGCCAGGGGGGTGAGGAGTGGGGGGTGGGAAATGAGAGAAAAATGACAAGAGGTAGAATGAAGATGAACATGGATTAGAAGAGGAAAGTTCTACAGAAAGTGATACACCGAGTGCCTAAAAAAATGAGGAAGAGAGTATAAAAATGATCAATATGGAGAAGAAGAGCTATTTTAATTTCTCAATTTTTAACAAAATATCTGAAGAAGACATTCTAACAAGTCATAGTTTGGCATTAAAGTTTTTAAATAATGTCAATACACAGAATAACATATTCCAAGTCATATTAGATAATAGTAATTAATATTAAAAGGAAACTATTGAAAATGTTTATTCAACAATAAAATGAATTTTATAGGAAAATGGAATAATGACAAATTAATGTGGCAAGCCATAAAAACATAGCTTATTTTTAAATATAATAAAATGTAAAGTCATTCTGTGCTTTACCAAAGATATTTATGGCAAGCATTATGTATTAGCTATTGCCCAAAACTACTTTCTTCTTTTTTCTTGATAAAAACCTAATTTTCTCAGGCAATGGCTGATAAGTAGCCTGAGCCGATGTTGACAATTCTGTTCCTCTTTGCCAGACACTTGTTTTCACAGTCTTCTTGATAGCTAGGCTGGGCATGTGACTCAAATCTGGCCAGTGAGACATAAGGACATGTTGGCTTAGGCAATTTGGGGAAGGATATTATAACAACACCTTTTGACTCACAACTGGCTCTGCCCCACCTCTGTACCTTGAACACAGACATAATGGCTACCGGCATGACAGCTATCTTGTGACCATGATGGGACAAGCAAAAGCACACTAAGGATGATGGAATGGAAAAAAGAAAGGCCTGAATCCTTGTTGAATAGTTGAAACAATGTTAGCACCACCTACACCCAGTCAAATCTGTTGGTGTAAGCCACTATTAATCTAGCTTGCTGTTAACAGTTCATACAGCCTCATCCAGCACCATCATTGATTGAAAGACAATATATAAAAAAATACATGGGCCCATAACAATAATTTTTAACAGATGAAAAACAAAAGAATAAAATCACATCTCATCTGCTACCTTTGGTGGTGACTACTGTATCAACTCATTACTCTATAAAGTGGTAATGACAGTGAAATTTCTAAGTATTTATATATCATTTTCAAAAGAAACTGCAGTTCAGGGTAACCAAATATGCACAGTTGATGAGTTAAAGTTCTTTACAAAATAATCGCAGCTAGTAAACACAAGGAATAACAAAAATAGAAAATCACACTTTCATAATCCCTAAGTAATTTAAGAAAAAGATTTAGGCAGAAATCGTTGATATTAAAACCATTATGGGAAAGACTGACAGGAAATTAAATAACCTCAAAACGCAAAGGTATCCACAAATTACAATGAAGGATTAAATGAAAGAAAAAAAAAGGTCTTTTTCAACAAAAGGTGCTCAAAAAACTGACTTTCTCTATGGAAAAAAAATAATTTTGCACTGTACATAAAAATTAAAATGTAAAATTCTAAAACCTCTAAAAGAAAACATGAGACAAAAACTTTGTAACCTTAGGTAGGCAAAAATTTCTTTCATAATATACAAAAGAAAACATGGATAAACTAGACTTTATCAAAACAAAAAATTTTGCTTTTCAAAAAGACAATATCAAGGGAGGAAAAGACAGCATTATTCATAATAAACAAAAGCAGTCTACCAACTTATCAAGACACAAGCAAAATGTATATATCCATAGAACTGAATATTATTCATCAATGAAAAACAATGGACTATTTATACATACAATCAGGAGTTCCCAACGCCCCTGGGCTGCTGACCAGTAAGAGTCGGTGGCTGTTAGGAACTGGGCCACACAGCAGGAGGTGAGCGGCAGGGCAGTGAGCATTATAACCTGAGCTCTGCCTCCTGTCAGATCAGCAGCAGCGTTCGATTCTCATAGGAGTGCGAACCCTATTGCTAACTGCACACGCGAGGGACATAGGTTGTGTGCTCCTTATGAGAATCTAATGCTGATGATCTGAGGCGAACAGTTCATCCCAAAACCACCACCTCTGCCCCCACATGTGTGGAAAAACTGTCTTCCATGAAACCAGTCCCTGGTGTCAAAAAGGCTGGGGATCACTGCATACAACAAAATGGATCATTCTAAATAAAAGATTGTGCTAAGTGAAGAAGCTAGATACACAAGATTACCTGTCATATGACTGTATTTATATAAAATTTTCAGAAAAAAACTAAGAAGACAGAAATTATAATCTATCAAAATTAGTAATTGCCTGGGTTTGGGGGTAGGAGGAGGAACTGACTACAAACAAGCATGAAGGAACTTTTGTATGATGATGGCAATATTCCAAAACTGGTTATGAGATGGTTGCACATCTGTATAAATTTACTAAAACTTGGCTGGGCAAGGTGGCTCACACCTGTAATCCCAGCACTTTGGGAGGCCGAAGCAGGGAGATCACCTGAGGTCAGGAGTTCAAGACCAACCCTGCCAACATAGTAAAACCACGTCTCTACTAAAAATATAAAAATTAGCTAGGTGTGGTGGCATGTGCCTGTAGCCCCAGCTACTCGGAAGTCTGAGGCAGGAAAATTGCTTGATTCCAGGAGATGGAGGTTGCAGTGAGTCGAGATCGTGCCACTGCATTCCAACCTGGGTGACAGAGCGAGACTCTGTCTGAAAAAAAAAGTTAAAATAAATAAATAAGTTTACTAAAACTCATCAAACTATACATTAAAAGTGCATGATAACAGAAAAAAAGGAAAGACACAGAAGAAAATATTTATGATATGGTTTGGCAGTGACCCCACCCAAATCTCATCTTGAATTGTAATCCTCATACTCCCCATGTGTAGAGGGAGGAACCTGGTGGGAGGTGATTGGATCATGGGGGTGGTTTTCCCACTTGCTGTTCTCATGATAGTGAGTGAGTTTTCACCAGACTTGATGGTTTTATAATGGGCTCTTTCCCCTTAGCTCCACACACACTCCTCTCTCTTGCCTGCCACCATGTAAGACATGCCTCATCCCCTTCTGCCATGATTATACGTTTCCTGAGGCCTCCCCAGTTCTGCGGAAATATGAGTCAATTAAACCTCTTTTCTTTATAAATTACCCAGTCGTGGGTACGTCTTTATAGCAGTGTGAAAACCGACTAATTCAATTTACAATGCAAAATTTGATAGAAGACTTACATCCAGAATGTAATAAAAATTCTTACAACTCAGTAATGAGAAGACAACAAACCCTTCAAAAATTGAACAAAAACCTTCACTATTAAGCAGTTAAAAAGTTTGTCACATCAGTAGTTATTAAGAAAATGCACATAAAAAGTACGAGAACCTCCTACACACCCACTAAAATGGCTAAAATTAAAAAGACTGCTAACATCAAATGTTGGCAACAATCTGGAGGAACCAGAACCCTCAACTACGGATGTGGAAATGTAAACTAATAGAACCACTTCAGAAAACTGGTATTCTCTTTAAAAAGTAAACATAATAGTCTTTGCAAAAATCTAACCTTTTTTTTTTGCCTTAGGTATTAACCTAACAAATGAAAATATAAGCTGAAACTAAGACTTGTACTTGAGTGTTAATGCAGCTTTATTTACAATAGTCTTAAAGTAGAAATAACCTAAATGCTCATCAATAGGTGAACGTATAAAGATACTTCCATAAGTAATGACATAATAAAAGAGGAACAAATTATCAATGCACATAACATGCATGAATCTCAAAATAATTATGTTGAATGTATAAAGCCAGATAAGAGGAAGAGCACACTGTATAACTCTAATTATGTAAAACCATGGAAATGCAAATTAATCTATAAAGACAAAAAGTTGCTGCCTGTAATTTTTCTGAATTACAAAATAAAATTCTAGTATTTACTACTATAATAACACTCCAGCACAAGAGTGTTTAAATTAAGTAAAATCATATAGATTTATACAAGTACAAACACAATTTTGAGAAATTTTTGAGAAGCAGAAAGCAATTACACATAGACTAGAGTGACTACCAAATTTTAATCAAAGAGCAGTAACAGAATTCTATATGAAATACAATAAATTTAGTCCGTTATTGAAAAATTATTCACATGAATAACTGAAATGAAATGCATTCAGTGAACTGGAAAACTATGGGAAGTAATAACACCAAAATACCCTAAGTCTAAAAGCAGACAGTTAATTAGATGTAAGTCCACACTGCAAGATGGCAATAAAATAAAATAATAAAGTAGCCAATGTTATTGTGGATTGTTCACAACAAGAGAATTTGTCAAAGAATATGAAAATAACATGACTGCATATAGAAACTAGAATAAAAGTCATACTTTACATTTGGTGTAAAACAAAAGCATACAGAAATGCCGTATGGTAATTGACACATCGTAAAAGAGGAAAGGGTAGACAGAGAGAAAAAGAGTAGGAGAAAAGAAAAGATGAAAGTATCTGCCAAGAAAATCAATTATTTAAAGCAGGGATCAGCATATTTTTTCTTTAAAGTGCAATACAGCAAATAGTTTAGGCTTTGCACACTACGTATGCTGTTTGTTTTTGCTTTTTTCCAACCATTTAAAAATATAAAAATAATTCTTAGCACTGCGGCAACATAAAAAAACAGGCCACGGGCTGTAGTTTACCAACCCATGATTTTGGGTGTTATGTAAGAGTTCAAATTAATTTCCATTCAAATTTAAGGATAAAATAAAAAGGACATGTCACACAACTAACATTAAGCTTTAGAGAAAAAAAATTCAAATGATTAGTTTTAAAATATCCTTTTAAATTATAAAAGCTATGACGGTACATATTATGTAACTATTATTAATAATGATATACAATGTTATCTCTAAAAAGAAATTGCCGAAGAGTAACTTTTAAAATTATTATTTATACATGTCATAAAGTTTATTTAATTGAATACCAATGTACTCCACATCAGGTCTCCATTAAATCTAATGAAAGCTATAGTGATGGGAACAAACAGACAAATATATGGTGAAACAACAGCAAATTATCATTTGAAGGTCATAAAGGAAATACGCGAGCTCTTACTACATTCATTCTTTCAAGTTGTTTACTGTGTGCCAAGGAACAAGTTTTGAACAAGAGGGGAAAAATTACTGAAACTCTAGTTAGTGGTAAAAACAATACTGGGACCAAATATACAAAGGAGTTTACACAGGCCCAAATGATGGGCTCTGTTGTATAATCCATGAGACAAGTCAGAAAAACAGCTAAATATATAAAAGCTGTACCTTTTAAAGCTAGGCAAATGGTGTTTGTTGGGTCATAAGGGAAGGAAAACATCCCAAAACAATTGCTTGCTGCCTGCAGAACTACTATCGCAAACTACAAAAGGAATCACTGTGTTCAACTTTAAGAGGACCTTCTTTTTGAAGCTTAAGATAATGCTTAACTTCCATAGAGCTCACTGAACACAATGCATTTGAACTAGTATCCTTGCTGTACCAGAAATAATTCAGAATTTTTAACTGCAAAAGTGAAAAGAGCTCATAATATCAAAATTTCTTACTGTATACTATATAGATATTTATCTACTGAACTTCAATTCTACATTATTTTCTTAGAGTAGCTAGGTCTAGGTCTAGGTTCTCTAGAGCTGGCTTCTCTAAGGTTGTCATGGTACTTTTGGCTGACAGTTGATAAGCACCAGGACCCTAGGCTTGACCAAGAAGGTCTTCTGCTTTAGGGAAAAGGCAAGTTCATGAATACTTAGTTACTATCACTAGCAACAATTACCACAGGGTCGAGATTATAGCCAGGTACCAAGCTCTGAAAGAAGTGAACACAGAAATCCTCTTTCCTGATGACCTCTAAAGACAAGTAAACACATTATCTTCCTCCACCTTGAACCTCCAGAAAGTCTCATACTTGTTTACTGGGAAAGCTTCTAATTCACAAGGTAAAGTCATCTTCCTAATTAAAATGTCATCATTTTACTGTGGGGGACTGGTATCTATGGTGACGCAGGAACTGATCCAGATCACAATTTCTACCACCTATTTTTGAAAGCTAGTTAAAGCCTGAGGTAATGGAGTCTGTTGTAATCCTGAAAAAATAAATAAACAAATAATGTCCTCTCCCTTTCTTTGTGTGACTTCTGTCAGTGAAAGATTGTATGGTGAGTAGAAAAGAGAGAAATGGGAACCAGGAAGAGCTGCAGGTGGATGGCATATCTAGTCGCATGCTGTGACAGACTGCCTATAGAGTTGAAAAATGTTTTTTCTAATATGATCATATTCTGTGCATCCCCAGAAGATGTGCTCTACATCACCAGTCCTTCCAAATTTTTCCAAAGAAAATGGTAGTGATATCACTATAAATCTTTCCGATACAGAAGTAATAAGACTTTTGTAAGGTCAGAAGTTTATTTATGTATTTTTCGTGTAGAAAGAAACAATAGCTCCTCCATATCTAAACAGTCATTTAGTTTATAAATCTGAAAATAGACATTTTGCAATATGATAGTATTTTATAATACTACAAAGCTATTTAAAACATACAAATAAATACAAAACACTTAGGCAATTAACTAGGAAAAAATAGTGATGAAAGAGGTTATTTGCATTTACTAAAACAATTTTGGTTTGGAAAGGAATGCTAAAAAAAGAAATTACACTAACTTTCTTCTAATAAATAGTTGCTTCAGATAACAAAGGAATAGCTATTATATTAGTCTGTTCTGGCTGCTGTAACAAAATACCATAGACTGGGCTTATAAACAAGAGAAATTTATTTTTTGCAGTTCTGGAGACTGGGAAGTCCAAGTTCAAGGTGCCAGCAGTTTGGGTATCTGATAAGGGCTCATGTTCCTAGTTCACAGAAAGACACCCTTTTTTTTTTTTTAAATTATACTTTAAGTTCTGGGATACATGTGTAGAATGTGCTGGTTTGTTATATAGGTATACACGTGCCATGGTGGTTTTGCCGCACCCATCAACCCGTCACCTACATTACCTATTTCTCCTAATGGTATCCCTCCCCTAGCCCCCTAACCCCAACAGGCCCCGGTGTGTGATGTTCCCTTCCCTGACAACGGACACCTTTTTAATATGATCCCACATGGCAAAAGGATAAGCAGCTCTCTCAGGCTCTGAGTAAAATGAGGGGTAGAAGGAGAGGGGAAGGTAGATAGTAAGTGCAAAAAGTCTTTTATAAGGGCACTAATCCCATTCAAGAGAGTCCCACCTTCATGACCTGTTTACCTCCCAAAGGCCGACCTCCAAATAACATAATTTTGGCGGTTAGGATTTCAACATAAGGAGAATTTAAGGAGGATGCATTGGGAACATAGCAGCCATAAAAATGAAGTGACAATTTATCTGCAAATTACAGTTAGGTGACTCTATTATTATTATTATTATTATTACTATTTTTATGATTTTAGTAAGGGCAGAATTCAATGAATAGAAACATCACCCATTTCTTTAACATGATTCAACAGAAAGTAACAATTTAGTTTTTAACAAAAGATCTCATTGAATTATCAGTCAATAACCAAAAATCTAAAAATCACTGAAGACAATGAAGATGGAGAATTTTTAGTGTTATTAAATACTACTAATTTCACAACTGGTAAAGATAGCACTAAAGACTCATGCTATTTTAACTTTTACAATGAACTGATATTGAAAATGATGGGCATCAACTACATACTCAATAAGAGAGGATCATCAACACTTTTGAGGAATCAAATTAATGTCAGAAATTAATTATTAAATGTAACTGATAATATGATGTAATTTTTCAAAAGTTCCTTGTTTACTGAACATCTATTCAGGCTAAGAGCCTATAAACTAAGTGCGTAATCATTCATGAATGCAATAGTACTTCAAAGTTAAAATACTGTAATTCTTTTAGTCTATATTTATAATAAACATTATACATTTATTTTAATCTCTGATACATGCGAGAATATAATTTGAGGATAAAATACATATAAGCTGTAGCATCTGTTCTAACAGGGAGCGTGAAGCATATTCCAGGCATAAAAAGAGTACCAAGGCCCTAAAGAAGAAAGGAAAATGGGATGTGAACGACTAATAGAAAGCTTGTGAGACTGAAAAGCAGAGAACATATGAGGAGAGTAGCATAAAATGTGCACGTTTAAATGTTGATGAGAAGGAGACAGTATAAGGGAAATGAGGGATGGAAATGTCAACAAGATAAGGTTCTAAGAAAATAAAAAATAGGATCTAGAGCAGAGGTGGTGTGAGAGGACTCTCAGTGAAGCAGGAATTAAGGACATCTGCTCAGAGTAAAATGGGGGTATGGCAAGAGAAGATGGTTGATGGAAAGTAAAGAGAGCGTAAAACAGTAATTTCAGAAGATGAAAAAAAAAAAAAAAAAAAAAAAACAGTTGGCCAGAAAACAAAAATTCTGAGGAATGCTGAAGGACCAGTTTAGATTAATCATCAAATGGAGACTTCCTAAAAAAAAATTTATGCTATAAAAATTCCCTTTTCAATACAAATTGCTTCACAAATTGTCAAATAATTTTCAATATAATTATTTAATAAAGTTAGAATAAACTGCTTGGTCTTACTAAAGAAGGGGGAAGCAGGAGCTCCAGATCATGATTCTATTACTTGCCAGCTATGTAATCTTCAGTTAATTTCCTAACCTTTCCATCTCTTTGTTTCCTTAACCATACAGAAAATGGATAATTATATCTTCTTCACAGATCTGTTACTGCAATTGAGATAACAAATGTAAAGTGACTAACACAGAGCCTGACAAAGAACAGAGACTGAACAATGGTTCGTTTCACTCTTAATTCCTAAATTGCCTGCTGACACAGCTGGATGACACCTCTGTCTTGTTGCTCTCTGAGAAGAAAAGGCACTAGCTCCCAAACACAGGCTCTTTCTACTACGACAGCCTGCTTCCCAAGAAGCTTTATCACAGTGACGTGATTATTAAGAGTTTAATCCTCTCAGCTCCACAAAACCTGAAACTTGACTTTGTGAGAAAGCCAGGTCTGAGGAAGACAGACACACACAATTAAACTCAGAAAGATGTTACAAACACAAATATCAATTTATACATAAGAAATACAGTAAATATCATGAACTGAACCAGAATGTTAATACTGGCAGATAATACATTTTCTCCCTTTAGGAAAATTACACAGCAAGCTGCAATAGTCTGAATGTTTGTGTCTTTCCTCCTCAATTCATATGATGAAATCCTAACTGCCAAGGTGATAGTATTAGAAGGTGTGGCCTTTGGGAGGTGACTATATCATGAGGGCAGGGCACCCATGAATGGGATTCATGCCCTTATAAAAGAAGCTTGAGGGTGCCTTTGCTCCTTCTACCACATGAGGACACATCAAGAGGGCATCATTTGTGAATCAGAATGTTGGCCCTCAGTAGATACCCAATCTGCTGGCACCTCCAGCCTTCAGACTTCCCCAGCCTCCAGAACTGTGAAAAATAAATTTCTGTTTATAAGCCACCCAGTTTATGGTGTTTTGTTACAGCAACCCAAATGGACTAACAGAGGAGCCAAATTGTACTCAGAAGGTTACTTTATACATCTAAATAAGACAAATGAATTGGATAATATTAAGGGATAATGTCAATAAACTATGATAATATGATACATATGGCCTTACAGGGAGAAAATACTCCCCCTCCACTGAGCAGAACCTATCCTCCTATGAACCATGCTGAGACATACAACAAAATTATAGTTCCCTGACTCCTATTTTTCTAAGATCTATGCAGATCATTCTACACCTACCCGTGCAGACACACATTACTTTTATACTTTTGTCTTTTTAATCTGATTTATTAGAAATAGGCCACTGGTTAAATAACAACAGTCATCTACTTTGATAAATCTTTTGAATAAATTTATATAGTCTAAACAGATAACAAAACTATCAATATTTAAGGAATACTAACTTCCTAAAAGTTTGTCAGTCTCTTAATTTTTAATATGAATTTAAAAACCAAAGAAAAGTCAAACTTGACAACTGGTAAAAATGTGCACAAGACAATAAAATATCTAATATATATTTATTTAGAAACAACTAGGCTAGAAAATACTTTCTTACTTTAAATATAAGAGAATTAAATTAAAAAACAAAAAGCCTTTAAAAGTAACCATTCCTTTTTGACATGTTAAATTTATCCAACCCTATTGAAGATAATATTTTGGTTTCAAAAACGCTGGTACTGTTTCCCTTCTAGAATTACTTGGTTTGAGTCCCATGACTCTAAAATATGATACAATTTTAAGAACTGCATAAAGATATATACAAATGTATACATCAAAAACATGTCATAGATGCAAAATTTTAGGTAGTATATATACATAAGGTTTCCCATTAGATTAATACAAAAGGCTTATGACATTGCACTCCCTGAAATACAAATTGCCATCTTTCTCACAACTAAACAAACTATGCTAATATCAATTTTCTGTAGAAATATTCATCTTTATTCAAGGTTGACTTGGAATTCCTTAAGTATTTCTTTGAGAAGTAATTATCAAAGAATTTGATAATTTGAGCAATCATCCTTCAAAAGAAACATTAGGGCCAGGCATGGTGGCTCACGCCTGTAATCCCAGCACTTTGGGAGACAGAGGCGGGTCGATCATCTGAGGTCAGGAGTTTGAGACCAGTCTGGCCAACATGGCGAAACCCCGTCTCTACTAAAAATACAAAAATGAGCTGGGTGTGGTGGCACGTGCCTGTAATCCCAGCTACTCGGGGGGCTGAGGTGGGAGAATCACTTGAACCCAGGAGTCGGAGGTTTCAGTGAGCCGAGATCGTGCCGCTGCACTCCAACCTGGGCAACAAGCGCAAAACTCCATCTCAAAAAAGGAAAAAGAAAAATAAACATTAAGACCATCATCTAGTGTTTTATCCAATTATTTAATATTTAACAAATACTTATTGAGCAATTCAAAGAATGGGAAAACAGAGATAAAAGATATAGTACTAGGTCTTAATGAACGTCAATCCAGTGAGTACATCAAAACATATATATATTATAACAAGTGTGATAAATAAAATGCTCAAATATAATAAATAACATTATTAAGCATCTTCTTTTTTTTTTTTTTTTCAAAGGTGCTATTATAACCCTAAATAGAGGTTCTAAAACCACCCACAAGAATCAGGAAAGGCTATTTGGGGAAGTTAAGGAGGACAAAGTTGGGTAAAGAATGAATACAAAACAAACAGCCAGGTAAATTCGACCAGTAACTGTGTTCAAAGAATATTTAACATTAAATGCAAACCACAGAGGCTGAACAAACCTGTTATGTTCAGGGAAACAAGGGACAGCCATAAGTGTCATTTGGGGATGTAGCAAGATGGCAAAAAGCAAATGGGGTTACAGTTTGAGATTTATAAAGAGCAAAGTTGTTGAAGAATTTTAAGTAGCAAACGGACATGACTAGATATGCCTTATATTAAGATCACTGTGGAAGCAGTATGAGTATTAAATGGAAATCAGACACTAATAGAAGACTAATACAGTAATCAGGATGAGAAAGCTAAGGTATGAAACAAGAATACAGAAACAATCAGAGTAGAACAGGAGTCAACAAACTATGCTCGTGGGACAAATCTGGTTTATTGCTTGTTTTTGCTAATAAAGTGTTAATGGAACACAACCACATTCATTCATTTACATATTGTCTATGACTGTTTTCCTGCCTCAACAGCAGAGTTCAGTAGTTATAACTGAAACTAAATGGCCTATAAAATCTAAACTATTTACTATCTGTCTCTTCGCAAAAAGTGTGCTGGTCCTTAGATGAGCTGATTTCCAAGTTTTCCAGTTGAATAGTGGTGCTCCACAGCAGCTAACAAACACAGGAGAAGATATATTTGACAACTCTGTATTTTAATATTCTGAGTTACAGAGTCTTTATGATGGTCTCATGGAATAATGTGGATGATACTAAGAATGAGCTTGCTCAATATACATTCTGGCTTCCTTTTAGTATGTGTTTGCTGTAAAAGGGTCCAGATATGACTAATGTTCCATTAACTATAAGAACTTGTTTGACATTTAGATGGCAGAGGCTGTACTTTTCCTACTTCTGTTGTTTTCCCTGCCAAGCTTGGTCATAGAGTGTTTGGATTTCTTCTATCAGCTCTAATGGGGCCTGGTGTATAGTCCCTAGCATTATGAGTGCCAAAAGGCAGAACAGGGGACATCTATTTTGCTGATCTAGATCTTGTCAGAGGAAATATGGCTCTGAAGCTATCAAATGCAATGAAGGTTATATAAAACACCAGTGGGCAGTTTCCTGACATGGAGGTAGCAATATGTGCCCAACTTGCCCAATTCTCCACAGTTCAGTAGTTCTGAGAGGCTCAGATTATGGTCTTTTTCTTGAGCCCTCCCAACCATATCCTATAATAAACCCCTATCTACTAAAACTTGCTAAAGTAAGTTCTGTTCTCTATAAGCAAACTTTAACCAATACAAGCATCCTGCAGGCAGGGCAGGAAGCTATAAAGATTTGGTGTTTACAAAAAGAGATCTTGGAAGCAGATTGAGATTTTAAAGTTATCAGCAAATGGGAATATACGAGATCATCAAGGAAAAGCATTTAGAATAAAAAGTGGTCACACAGAGAGAGCACAAAGATTAAGGAAGTAAGCAGAAATTGTTACAATTATGAAGAAACCAAAAAGCAACGTCAAGGAAAAAAAAAAAAAAAAGAAAACAGGAGAGATTGAGATAAAGAAACGAAGAGAAGAAAGGTTGTCAAGAAGTTGAAATGGTTACCAATATCAAAAATTTGAGAAAAGAAAAAAAAAGTCCTTTGGGAAACTGGGAGGTCACCCAGCAGTCACCCAGTAGATTACTGAAAGTAATCTACTTTCAGTAGATTCATTGAAGAAGTCATGTTAGAAGCCACAATAGTGTAGACTGGGGACTATATGAGAAGTCAAGAAAAGGAGACAGTAAGAGCAGCTTATTCTTCCAAATAGTTTGAAGTAAACAGACTAGGAAATAGTTACATAATAAGATATAACTAAGTAAACAGTTAACATTGAAGAATCCTTTTTCCTTTCAAGTGAGAGAAATTTTAGTATCTTTGTTTGCTGCTAATAAAAAGGAAAAGGTTGAAGATTCAGATAAGCCAAAAAGCAAAGTAAAGAAGCAGGGCAGAAAGGATGGTGTGGAATTAGCCTTAAATAGGAAGGTTAGAGATCTGATGGAGTTGTGTCCTTGAGAATGAACTTTGCATGAAGTCAAAAACATGCATGCCTTGTGACCTTGATTTTCCTTGTAAGGAGTGTGACAAGATCATCTCATGACAATGAGAGAGAAGAGACTGGAGGTTTACAGTGAATAAAGAAAATCTGAAACAACCATCTGTGAAATGGAAGAGGGAACTGGACGTAATAAAAAAGTAATTGAAGCCCAGCTGCATCTAAGAATCATAAATTTTAGTTACAACAGTCTTACAGTTGTCTGTTTTGTTTTGTTTGTTTTGTTTTTGTTTTTTAAGAGCAATGAAAAGACTAGGCATAGAAGTAAAATAGGGATAAATGTTGCATGGTCCACAGATGGCATTTTGCTGTGCAGGAGTAGTAGAAAGGCAAGGGTGAAATAATTTGAGGGTATCATCAAGGGGAATACTTCTTGGTACCAGATCTACTGAATCAGAAATTCTGGGTGTTGGGCTCAGCTATCTGTGTTTTAACCAGTCCTCCCATCAATTCTGATGCATGGTGAAGTTTGAGAATCATCAGTTAGGTGAATAGTTGAAGAGACACATCTTTGATCAATTTAATATAAAAAAATAAGTAGACCCAGAGAAGGGGACAGACATGAGGTTGACAGAGTAGAAAACCATCGAGTAGTAAAGACATTTATGCTGTAGATGAGTTAACAGACTGATGGGTTCATTTTGTTTTGTTTTTGAGATGGAGTTTTGCTCTTGTTGCCCAGGCTGGAGTGTGATGGCAGGATCTCGGCTCACCGCAACCTCCGGCTCCTGGGTTTAAGCAATTCTCCTGCCTCAGCCTCCCGAGTCGCTGGGATTACAGGAGTGCGCCACAATGCCTGGCTAATTTTGTATTTTTAGTAGAGAAGGGGTTTCTCCATGTTGGTTAGGCTGGTCTCGAAATCCCAACCTTAGGTGATCTGCCCGCCTTGGCCTCCCAAAGTGCTGGGATTACAGGTGTGAGCCACCGTGCCCGGCCAACAGATTGATGTTTTAGGTTAATAAAAGAATTATGAGTTATAACAGGAACAAGGGAGTGGGAGGGCAGAAAAAACAGGAAGCTACAGTCAAAGGAAGAGACACTGGAGACTTAGACCAAATGATACTAATGACAATATTCAACGTTGATAAGGAGGGAAAGATTCTGAAATAGGATGGAAGGGAAGGGCACTAGACTCAAGTTTGGGCTAGTAGATGTCAAACGACTGTGAGCCCAACGTATGAGAATAACCATCTCCATAGGTATTGGTAACATCCAGGATGTGGGATTTAGAATGGAGAGAAAACAGTACTGCTGAAGTCCTAGAGATGGGAGACACAAAAGGATTAGGAGATGAAAACAACCATATGAGGAAGAGGACAATATGTTATAGAAAATAAATTCCCTGCATAAAATCCCAAAGAAGGCATAATTCATACAGGATGGAGGGCTACAGAGTCAAATCCAGCGGCCACTTCTTAGGAAGGTAACTGCCCTTTCTTGTTTTGAAATTCAGGGCAAAATGTTTGATTAATAGAGTTATCTTTCCTTCTCTTTTGAAGATCTAAAAAAAGGTATCTTCTCTTATTTAATGTAGAGAAATACTCTTTTTTTTTTTAAACGGTGTAACAGTTTCATCCTTACAGGGAGACCTAGAGTTAAAACATAATTGACCAAACAACTAAAAGTAATCTCTAATGTTAGAAGTTAGAATAATAATTATCTTTGGGGAAGCCAGAAGAGAGTAAAAATTGTGAGAGAGGGTAAAGAAACTCTAGGAGTACTGATAATGTCCTATTTCTATCCTGGGTTTTGATTTCACAGGTATGTTCACACTGTGGTATTCATTCTATATGAAAGTTTATGATTTGTCCACTTTTCATTTTGTATATGATATTCAATTTTAAAAGAAAAAGTACCTGATTCAGTTATATTTTAAAAATTACAACTATTTAGGAATCAGAAGTCAAATAAGTACCTTCTTGATTTAGAGGCTTAAGAACAGCACATTAATAACATTGTTTCTGTCCAACATAAATGCACAAAATGAAATTCCTGATTTAGAGGATATGAAAAAACTCTATTAATAATTATATTGGAGCCCAATACAAACGGAGAAAATATCTGGGTATAATACAAGGGTAGATCTAAGATCTAATTCTAAGTTGTTGAATCTAATACATCAATACCTTTGAATTTCTTCCAATTCAGAAAATTAAGCATCAGGAAAATGATACCTTAGGAGAAATGTCAAGTCAAAAATTTTTTAAATTATGGCATAATGATTAAGAGTGCAAAGTTCTGGGACTAGAGTGATTAAAATTTGAATCCAAACTAAATAATTTACTAGCTATGTGATTTTCAACAACTTATTTAAGCTCTGTTTCTTCAACTGCAAAATATAATTAACAATAATACCAATCTTACTGGGTTGTTGAAGGGCTTAAATGAGGAATCGTGCTTTAGACAAAGCAGGCATGGTCAGCTAGTTATCTATCTATATATGCACATCATAAAAAATACATTTCATGTTATATACATTATACATTAGAAACATTAGGTCTATTTTTAAATTAAATATATTAAACATATATTAAAATTTCCCTTAACGACCCATTCTTTGATTTAAATTGTAGACATACTTTCTCAGTGATATATTACTATAAGACATATATTACTTTTTTGAACTCAAAGTCAAATGTTCACCTGTATTATGACACATTTTTTACATTAAAAAAGTCTTATTTTTATTACCTGAGTCTCCAAACCCTGCTCTAGTAGGCGCTTAGCTTGATTTTCCACTTCAAGTCGGGCTCTTGCAATAAAAAGTAGATCATTTTCTATCACTTCTATTCCAGAAAGATCTATTCCTTGAGAAAGATAATCTGTTTAAAACAAAAACATACACATTCAAATATTTCAATACTGAATAAATATCAAGGTATCAAAATATGTATAACTTCTCAAAAAAAAAAAACAAAAAACGCTATTAAACAGGGTTGCCATTCAAAATCCGTATTTTAAAAAATACAGTTTCCCAAATATTTTCTATTTAATAAGTAATTTATGCTGGAGTTAAATGCTCCAAATAAGACAGATTTGGTAAGGCAAGAATAGAAATGATGATTATTACAAGTTTAAGGAAATGTCAAGAGATCACATTTAAAAGTGTCAAATTTAGTATTTTAAAGTAAATAAATATTCTCACATTTTCAGAAAATTCTCAAGATGCAAGTACAGTTTTTTTGCTGCTGCTGTTGTTTTTTTTTTAAGAGATGGGGGAAGTCTCAATACACTGCTCAGGCTGGAGTGTAGTGGCTTGTCACACATGTGATTATAGTTCACTATAGTCTCGAACTACTGGGCTCAAGCAGTCCTCCCACCTCAGCCTCCCAAGTAGCTGGTACTACCAGTACCTGGCATCACATCCAACTATTCTCTTTTTTTTTTAAGAGACAGGGTCTCACTATGTTGTTCAAGCTGGTCTCAAACTCCTGGCCTCAAGTGATCCTCCCATCTTGACCTCTTGAGTAGCTGGGCCCCAGTATTTTTAAAAGCAAAAAAGTGGCCTTCATCATATTATATAACCACCACCAGCTTCCACCTCCCCAGTTATCCAAACCATATTTACAATCACTCACCTTAAGAAGTAACCAAACAACATGCTAGATTTGCAGTACAAAGGGCTCTAAGAGCTGGGAGGGAGAAAGGTCTATATTATTTTAGTTACTAATTATTCCACAAACCTGCTTTTCAGTAAGAGACATGTAGCAACAGAGGGAAAAAAACACAACAAAAAAAAAAAACCAGGAAAAAAATGTAGTAACAAACCCCAGCGACTGCCCTTCACCACAGAAGAATAGAGGGATTATGATACTAAATTTCCCCTCCCATTTATCTGATGCATACAATCACTATCAGCGTTACAAGTCTTTATATATCTGCTCTTTGTCAAGCACATCTAGAGACTGGAGCCAAGAACAAAATGATGATGATGATGATTCCAATAACAATGACTAACATTTTTGAAGATATAGCATGTATAATACATTAAGCTAGACGCAAAGTGTGTATTACTTTAATGCATCTGTTATTTGTAATTTTCTAAACAATCTTGCTAGAAATCTCATCATACCTAGATGGAGATACTAAAATCCGAAGAATCTAAGTAATCTGAACAAATTCACTTGGCTAGTAACCGGTAAAACAGAATTAAAATCCTGGTCTTTCTGACCACAGTCTTTTCAGTAGATAATCCCAGGCCTCAAAAGAATAGAGCTTATATTCAAAGAGATAGTATTCCTCCGATATTCTTCCAATTTGCACATTGAAAGGGTAAAGATGTAAAAATCATAACAGATATAACTGTTCAAAAAATTTGCCCAGGTTAGAACAATGAAAGTATTAAATAACTAGTTTAACTTTTAAAAATATGTAAATGTTTAAAAATATATATAATGCCAAATTTTGAAATATGGCAGCATTACTCACATCTTGACAATTAAACCTTAATAAATGTGGAGTGCACAGCCAGAATTAACTTCCTAGCCACTTAATACAAATATCTCTTGGATCCCTTCATATACCACAGTGATATAGCAGGAAATGAAACTAATCTATTTGAATTTAATGTATTTATCATCTCCTTAGGAGAAAACTATGAGACTAGTGCTTTTAGTGGAAAAGAAATGATATTAATCATCTCTTGGTTTACTTAACATGAGAAAAATTTAATCTACTAGATTAGATAAAAGGGAATTCAAGCACATCAGTCATTTTACTAGGCTTTCAATATTCTAGTCAATAGTACACATGGCTACCGGAATAAATGTTCTGGTTTATTCTAGTTTATTATAGTTGCCCTTCCATTCATGAACCTCTGGCTTCACACTGACTAACATGTTCTCCATTTTGCAATAGAAAATGTCTTTATTGATTCCAAAATCCTCACTGTCCCTTTTTTTTTTTTTTTTTTTTTTTTTTTTTTTTTTTTTTTTTCCGAGACTCAGTCTTGCTCTGTTGCCAGGCTGGAGTACAGTGGTGCGATCTCGGCTCACTGCAACCTCCGCCCGCTGGGTTCAAAGTGATTCCCCTGCCTCAGCCTCCCGGGTAGCTGGGACTACAAGTGCACGTCACGACGCCTGGCTAATTTTTTGTATTTTAGTAGAGACGGGGTTTCACCATTTTGGCCAGGATGGTCTTGATCTCCTGACCTTGTGATCCACCCGCCTCGGCCTCCCAAAATGCTGGGATTACAGGCGTGAGCCACCATGCCCGGCCCACTGTCCCTTCTTTTACTAGCCTCCTCCTTTGTGTAAATGAAAACAAAAAAAGGAAAGTACAACTACAGTTTGCTAAAGAATTCAGCTATGCACTTATGTTTCACCACAATGTTAGCACTAAATTATTTATTCAGAAGAAAACTAGATGAATGAGGAATGCACGTATGAAATTGGGTTGGTGCTGGAAGTTGAAAGGAATGAGGAGGGTAAATCTTCATGCACCATGATGAGGAGTCAAAGAAGTTAAAAATTAAAAAGTGGAAATATAAGCAGATTATTTACAGATATGGAGGCAAATACTAAAATAATTAGCTGAAAAAGACTGAAAAGTTTGCCTCTGAGAAAGAGTAAATGAGGCCAGGAAGAAGGCAGAGCATTGCCATTTTTTAAAAACAAACCTTGTAGAGCTATTTGAGTTTATTACACATGTATAACTTCCATAATAAATAAAACTAAATTCTAAAAAGTAAATAGAAGTCAAGAAAAATAATACCAAAAATTAAAATAAGGTGGCTAGTCTACTAGAAAAAAAAATCACATCCTCTAAATCAATGATTCTGCTTCTGGGAATAAATAATAATTTTAAAAAAGAAGAAAAAGGTGAATATATTTGAGCACAAACGCATTTATTACAGTGTTAATTGCAACAGTAACATACATACATAGGGATATATGTACGTGTGCATGAATGTATATATGTATATGTATATAAATACATGTATGTATATATGTATGTGTGTATATATACACACACATACACGTATGTATGTATGTGTGTATATACACACACATACACGTATGTATGTATGTATGTGTGTGTATATACACACACATACACGTATGTATGTATGTGTGTGTATATACACACACATACACGTATGTATGTATGTGTGTGTATATACACACACATACACGTATGTATGTATGTGTGTGTATATACACACACATACACGTATGTATGTATGTGTGTGTATATACACACACATACACGTATGTATGTATGTGTGTGTATATACACACACATACACGTATGTATGTATGTGTGTGTATATACACACACATACACGTATGTATATGTGTGTATATATACACACACATACACGTATGTATATATGTGTGTATATATAAATAGCAACATTGTAAGTTAGTAAAAACCAGTTTGGAAAACAATATGGGACTATCTGATAAGGTTTCATATGTGTATGCCCCATGACTAAAATATTCCATTCTTAGGCACATACCCCAGAAATGTTGTCATATATGTGTATCAGAAGACATGTACAAGAATGTTCATAGTAGCACTGTTAAAAACAAAGCTGAAAATACAAATAACCATCAATAAAAGAAAAAAATTTTGTAATATATTCATTCCAAGTACTACTACAGAAGAGTGAAAATAGACAAATGACAGGTATGTACATATGGTATAAATATCAGTAACAATGAATCTCAATAACATAATGTTAAGGAACAACTTTTAGAAAACACACACAGCAACAGGTAATTCATACTGAGAAACATAAGACTAAATGATATATTATTTGGGATACATAGAAACATTAACAACATTTGGAAAAATTAGCAGAGATAGCAGATACGTTATTCTAATACACTAATTCTTAAATTTAGTGGGCAGTATTATAACTTATATATGTTAAAAATGTGTTTTTGCATTTTTATATTTTCCCATTAAAAACTACGTATGAACCAATGGCACAGAGTATAGCATTTTTAGACAAGGACTTCACAACAGTTACTATAACTGTATTTCATATGTTCCCCCATCAAAAAAGACGGACCATGTCAAATAGACATGGATAATAAGACAAATCAGTTAAAATGTATAATGTCTGTATGAGATTAACAGCAGATGGGACGTTATAGGAAAAGCAGAATATATTACCTCAGGGAGAAGAGTTTAACGCAAAGATTATTAACTGGTAACTGGATAAAAGCTTTTAAGATAATACTGTTTTCATTAAAGATATTTTAGAAGTCAGAGGAATATTAAAAAGAGGGGAAATTATATAACCCCATAACACAGAGGCAACCACTGGCCAGTGGAGCATTGGAATTTGTACAGCAATATCTCAGAAATTTATGAATCTCCAAATCCTCAAGTAACAGAAAAACAGCATATATCCTCCTCCTGGATATTTATGTGAGAAAGTGCAGAGAAAGGAAAAACTGAGGTACAGGGTCTGGGCAGCTGGCGACAGTCACCAACAAAAGTGGCTCCCTCCTACACACCAACTTTATAAAGAGCACCATACAAATATATGTCTCAGAAGCAACCTTCAGATGTTTCTAAAATACTTAAAACCTTGATTGAGCTTAAAAGTAAATGTCTACTATATTCTTTTTAAATCTATCCTTTTAAAATTTTACCCATGAGTTGTTTTGCTCTTATTATTTGTAATTATACTTATTTACAATGTCTTCTTTATTAACTTAATGTTACATACATTTACCTACCCTAAGACGGTCCTTATAAAAATATCAATTTTTGACAGCTCCCAATATTTCATCAAATTAATGACCAAAATTTACTTAACCTTCAGTTTAAGATGGAATATTTGTTATCATAAATGACTACTTTAAACATCTTTATAAAGATTTTCAATATCCAGAATTATTTTCTTGGGAGAGAATCAAAGACAGAATTATTGGATCAAAGTAACACGTTAGCTTCTTGATACAAATTATCAAACTACTTTTCAAAATGGCTATACTACTTTATATGCTTTTTCCAATAATCTATGGGAGTAATTTAACCACAGATAGCACTGGATATTACTACTGTTTTTGAATATTATATATGCTTCTATAAGAAATATGTTCTCATTGATAGTCTAATCTAAGTTATGAAGCTGAATACTGTTTATTAACTATATTTCCTCTTGAGAATTTCTAAATAATTTTTGCTCCCTTTTTGTCTTAAATCCCTTTGTATTAATTATATAATAATATTCACTGTTTGCCTATCATATTTGCTATTTTCCTATTATTTTGTATTTTCCCAGTCTATTGATTTTTAAGTTATTTGTTTACATATTATTTCTTGAGGCCATTCTCAGAACACAATCATAAAATTATCTAAAAAGCTCCACACACTTGATTCTTCATCACATCCCTGCCTGATTAAGAAATTCAGACTAAAATCTTTTACAAAAGCAAATATCAAAATATAAAATTGTGGTTTATAGAGGGTTATCTAGAAGACTGATGAACAGTAATCTGGAGAGGAAAGATGCCTTTTTTTGATCCGTTCAACAAACTTTGTATCTTTGAAATTAAAATAAATTGTATTGCAAAGATTAAGGCTTATCACAACAACCACATTTGAACTCTTTCTGAAGCATCAATCTTCTTGGCTGCAATCATATCAGATACTCTACAAAGAACACAGCTACTAGAGAATACTGAGATAAATAACAAATTTAAATTAAGACAAAACAAAACAAACAACCATTAAATAACACCAAACAACATGAATGTTTAAGGGTTATAATATTGACAGAACTAATTTATCCAATCACAAATGAGATTTGGGCTTTCCACATACTGAATAGTGTTCCAGAAGCCAAGGAGAATAATGTTCCAGAAGTCACTTAAATCTAAGGTAGTCCAGTTTTTTAAAAATTGCTTTAAAGATACATCCACACACAGACACATAAACACACACAGAGTCATGGCTTGCTTTTTTTTTTTTTTAAGTTTCATTAAAGAAACCTTAGAGAACACAGATGTTAGTGGAAAATGTCATCCAAAACTCCAAGGACAACTACATATACATTTGATTTTCAGTTCATTATTCTGGATGCAAATAGTGTTTTATTTTTATTTATTTGTATTTTAGTTTAGTTTTGTTTTGTCTGAAATAGAGTCTTGCTCTGTCACCCCAGGCTGGAGTACAGTGGCACAATCACAGCTCACTGCAACCTCCGCCTCCGGGGTTCAAGCGATTCTGCTGCCTCAGCCTCCCAAGTAGCTGGGATTACAGGGGCATGCCACCATGTCCGGCTAATTTTTGTATTTTTAGTAGTAGAGACAGGGTTTCACCATGTTGGCCTCAAGAAATAAAATGTAAACAAAAACTTAAAAATCAACAGCCTGGGAAAATACTCATAGCAAATATGATAGGCAAACAGTGAATATTATTATATAATTAGTAATTTGTTTTCCTCCTTTTCCTCTTCGTTGGTATTACTAGGAGATTACAAATTTTATTGATGTTTTCAAAGAGTCAACTTTTGGTTTGATTGATTTTTCTCTATTTTCCTGTTTTCAATTTCATTGATTTCATCTTCTTTATTAGTTCTAATTTTGGATTTATTTTACCTTTTTTCTAGTTTCTTGAGGCAGGAGTTTGTATTATTGATTTGAGACCTTTTTCTAATAACAAAGTTTTTCTTCTAAAAACACAATGTTATTAAATTCCTTCTTAACTGCTGCGTTGGTTGCATCTCACAGATTTTGATTTTGTATTTTCATTTTCACTCAATTCAAAATCAAAGAGAAATTTCTCAGAGATCCTTTGTGATCCCTTGATTATTTAAAAATGTACTAATTTTCAAAGGTTTAGAAAATTTCCTAATTTGATTCCATTATGATCAAAGAACAATTTTTTTTTTTTTTTGAGACGGAGTCTCCTTCTGTCTCCCAGGCTGGAGTGCAGTGGCGCAATCTCAGCTCACTGCAACCTCCCCATCCCCCGCCCCCAGGTTCAAGCTTCCTGCTTCACCTACCACCACGTGTGGCTAATTTTTGTATTTTTATAGAGATGGGGTTTCACCATGTTGGCCAGTCTGGTCTTGAACTCCTGACCTCAAGTGATCAGCCTGCCTCGGCCTCCCAAAGTGCTGGGATTACAGGCATGAGCCACTGTGCCCAGCCAAAGAACATACTTTGTATTATTTCAATTCTTTTACATTTATAAGGTTTGTTTTGTGACCCAGAACATGGTCTATATTGGATAATGTTCCATGTGTAGTTGAGCAGAATTTGTATTGTTTTTGCTTGGTGGAGTGCTCTGTAGATGTCAATTAGATCCTTAGTTTATGGTAGTGGTCACTGTTTATATATCCCTGCTGATTTTACCTAGGGCATCTAAGGAGAGATATTGACAGTTATTTCTAGCTAGGTACTGATTGGAAGGTAGGCATTCAATAAAGTACCTGAAATATCTTTCTGTTGACGATGGAGGGATGAGGTTTTGTTTAAATTCATGTTTTTAAAGTATAATGTCATATCAACAGTATCACAGTTAGAAAGTCAGGAAAAAAGGAAAAATGGTGCCCAGAAGAACAGATGGACAATGTATTTTCTTTCCATTGGCTCTGAGCAATTTTTTGTGGTAGCCAAAGCAGACACAGAGTGAGACTTAGGAAAGGAAAACTAATTCTCATTTTTAATAGTAAGGTATTTTCCTTCCCCCTTTTGTGAGAGACACAAAAAAGAAGACTTTTGATTCTAAATTTCCATGAAGCTTTGAAGAACAAGAAAGATGAACATGTCCTGAGAAGTGCCTTAGACTTGAAATATAAAGATTCAGCTAAAGGAGTTTACTTAAGCCTGAGGCTATTCTATGCATAGTTTATGTGATGGTATCAATTAAGAACTAGTCAGAAAAATACAAATTTTAGGATGGGCACGGTGGCTCACGCCTGTAATCCCAGCACTTTGGGATGCCGAGGCGGGTGGATCACGACGTCAGGAGATCGAGACCATCCTGGCTAACATGGTGAAACCCCATATCTATTAAAAATACAGAAAAATTAGCCAGGCGTGGTTGCACACGCCTGTAGTCCCAGCTACTCAGGAGGCTGAGGCAGGAGAATCACTTGAACCTGGAAGGCGGAGGTTGCAGTGAGCCGAGATTGCACCACTGCACTCCAGCCTGAGCGACAGAGCAAGACTCCGTCTCAAAACAAACAAACAAATTTTAACCTGTGTTTGTTTTCTGTAATACCTGAACTCCTTAAGATTATCTCTACATGTTCTTCCGGGTGCTTCTTCTCCCTATCCCGATCAAAAGAATAATACCCTATTATGAAAATAATAACTAATAACTTACATGTAGTTGTTTATGGTCTACAAAACGTGCTTCATGCATATTGCCTTACTTGCTCCATACAACCCTACTTGGTTAGCAACACAGGTTTTTTAATCTTCACTGTTGGAGTCTCAGAAAAGTTTAGTGATTTTTCTTGGGTCATAGAATTGAGCATAATTAAAGCACAGGTGTTCTCATTTCTAGTTCTGTATTCTTTCTATCATGTAATATTTGGCCTCTGAAAAGATGTACCTGTTTTCTCTAAAATTTTTGTAAGAAATAACTTTTAATTGAAATATATTTTTACATATTTTAAAGATGTTTCAGTGAATATTTACTATTTCATTTTATGTAAAGATTAATTTCAAAGATTATTAAAAAGGTTTAATAGGTTTTCAAATATAGACTTATGGTTATTCTGTTACATGAACGTGTTATTTAATAGGCTTTGGTTATCTTCCCATTTAAAACTATAAACTCTTGGCCAGGCAAAGTGGCTCACGCCTGTAATCCCAGCACTTTGGGAGGCCGAGGCGGGTGGATCACCTTAGGTCAGGAGTTCGAGACTAGCCTGGCCAAAATGGTGAAACCCTGTCTCTACAAAAAATACAAAAATTAGCTGGGCATGGTGGTAGATGCCTGTAATCCCAGCTACTCAGGAGGCTGAGACAGGAGAATCGCTTGAACCTGGGAGGCGGAGGTTGCAGTGAGCCAGGATTGTGCCATTGCACTCCAGCCTGGGCGACAAGAGTGAAACTCCGTCTCAAAAAAAAAAAAAAAATCTATAAATTCTTTATGTGTTTTTGATGATGATGCCTTTCTCTATTTCATTTGATAAATATACCTCCTCCATTCTCTTTTTCTTTTTCTTTTATTTTTACTATTAGAAAAAAATAGATAATTGGTGGTAAAATATTTTTTGTAATTCATTCATTCTTTAAAGGTTAAGAAATTATTTTTAGTTGGAATAAGCATTGTATTCATTAATTTTGTTTAAATTATTGGTTTTATATATTGTGAGCTTTTATTTATAATTTTTCTATTTGTCTAATTATATTTAGGCTATCACATATTAAAATCTTAAAATTTTAAGCCCACATTATTATGTTCTCTGTTCTCTATAAGCCATTTGCGTTTCTGTGCAAATACCACGACTTTAAAATTTTTGCCTTATAATTTTATTTTACTGTGTTTTCAATTATATTACACCTTATTAGCAACACTCTGCAACTGTATGTGAAAAATTGTCTTTAAAATATTTTTCTTCAAAGACATGTTTCATCATCAGATCTCTACTTAAATATGATTAAAGTATTCCAAATACAGGCAGGCAGATCACCTGAGTTCAGGAGTTCAAGACCAACCTGGCCAACATGGTGAAACCCTGTCTCTACTAAAAATACAAAAATTAGCCGGACATGGTGGCATGCTCCTGTAATCCCAGCTACTTGGGAGGCTGAGGCAGCAGAATCGCTTGAACCCCGGAGGCGGAGGTTGCAGTGAGCTGTGATTGTGCCACTGTACTCCAGCCTGGGGTGACAGAGCAAGACTCTATTTCAGACAAAACAAAACTAAACTAAAATACAAATAAATAAAAATAAAACACTATTTGCATCCAGAATAATGAACTGAAAATCAAATGTATATGTAGTTGTCCTTGGAGTTTTGGATGACATTTTCCACTAACTTCTGTGTTCTCTAAGGTTTCTTTAATGAAACTTAAAAAAAAAAAAAAAGCAAGCCATGACTCTGTGTGTGTTTATGTGTCTGTGTGTGGATGTATCTTTAAAGCAATTTTTAAAAAACTGGACTACCTTAGATTTAAGTGACTTCTGGAACATTATTCTCCTTGGCTTCTGGAACACTATTCAGTATGTGGAAAGCCCAAATCTCATTTGTGATTGGATAAATTAGTTCTGTCAATATTATAACCCTTAAACATTCATGTTGTTTGGTGTTATTTAATGGTTGTTTGTTTTGTTTTGTCTTAATTTAAATTTGTTATTTATCTCAGTATTCTCTAGTAGCTGTGTTCTTTGTAGAGTATCTGATATGATTGCAGCCAAGAAGATTGATGCTTCAGAAAGAGTTCAAATGTGGTTGTTGTGATAAGCCTTAATCTTTGCAATACAATTTATTTTAATTTCAAAGATACAAAGTTTGTTGAACGGATCAAAAAAAGGCATCTTTCCTCTCCAGATTACTGTTCATCAGTCTTCTAGATAACCCTCTATAAACCACACTTTTATATTTTGATATTTGCTTTTGTAAAAGATTTTAGTCTGAATTTCTTAATCAGGCAGGGATGTGATGAAGAATTAAGTGTATCAGTAACAGGAATTAAAAAGAAGATATAACTATGGACCTCACAGACATATCATCGTGGAAAACTATGAATAACTGAACAACTTAGCAAAACGACCAGAGCTCATACAAGATTATCTGAGTTGATCTAGAACATTAAGGGAACTGAATTTGTAGTTTAAAACATTCTGAATAAGAAATCAACAGGCCCAGATGTTTTCATTATCACTGAAAAAAGAAATCAATTCTATACAATGAGAGAGGGAACATTTCCCAAAAGTAGGGAAACAAAGAATGCTACAGAACATTATCCCTCAAGAGATATACACAAAAGTCTTCAAAACACTAGCAAATGTGATTACCTTAATACAAAAACCAAAGACATTACAAAAAAAAAAAACCTACAAAATAATCTCCCTCAAGAGCAGAGATGCAAAAATATCAAGAAAATATTAGCAAACAGAATCTTGCAACATATGAAAAGAATAATATGCCATGACCATGAGGAATTTCTTCTGGGAATGCAAGGAAGATACACACTGATAATTTAGAATTGTTTACTATGAACCCTTTAACAACAAACTAAGATTCTATAGCTAATAAGTCAACAAATGAGGTAAAATTTAAAAATAATGAAAAGAATGCAGGAAAACAATGAACAGATGACACAGATTGCAAAATATTTCTAGAAAATGCAAAGTAGAATGTAGGTTAGTGAGACTGAGCGCAGTGGCTCACATCCATAATCCTGACACTTCTGGAGGCTGAGGCTGGCGGACTGCCCGAGCTCACGAGTTTGAGACCGGCCTGGGCAACATCATGAAACCCCGTCTCTACTTGAATACAAAAAATTAGCAGGGTGTGGTGGTGCGTGCCTGTAGTACCAGCTACTCGGGAGGTTGAGGCACAAGAATCACTTGAACCCAGGAGACAGAGGTTGCAGTGAGCTGAGGTCATGCCACTGCACTCCAGCCTGGGCAACAGAGCGAGAGTCTGTCTCCAAATAAAAAATAAATAAATAAAAAATGTAGGTTGGTGGTTCCCTGGGGCCTGGAGGGGTTTTCAGAGAAGGGTGGAAGGGAGGTTTCACATGGAAACTTTTGGGAGTGATAAATATGTTTATTATCTTGATTATGTTGATGCTTTCTCAGGCCTATAAATATATAAAAATGTATAAAGTTATATACTTTAAACAAGTGCAGGTTATTGACACCAATTATACCTCAACAAAACTTTTTTTTTTTTTTTGAAAAAAAGAAAAACTGCAAAAGAAATATATCAAACAGAGCTATGGGGTTTATTCAACCCCTGAAAAAAGCATTTTCCCTCTTCACTATGCTTACAAAAGACATCAAGAAGGATTTTCTATTTCAAACAGCCATTAAATGCCTATATGCTTAGCACTGTATAAAGACGGAAACAGATATTAATTCTACATTTACATTATACCTTTTTTGACAGACTAGAAAACAGAATTATAAACCAGGCTGTCCCCTATCCAAAATCCTGCATGATACCCTTATATACATTAAAGTGTTTTGTTCCCAAAGAGCTAAACTTGATCACATAATTCTTAATTATGGATGCTAGAGGGTCTGCTTCACTCAGGTCCAAGCACTCCAAAAAATTAAAAGCTTAGTGGACACTGACTTTGCAATATATTAATAGGTGTTATAACTTAAGGGAATCCTAGGGTAAACACAAAATTAAGTAGGTACTTTACCACAATACTCCTCAAAACCATTACTGTGCACAATGAACATCCAAAAGAAGAATATAATATATAACATTTCCCACATCTATTTATCCACAGGATACCATCCATCCCCCACTTTTTTCCCTTCAGATTTTTCAAAAGATCCAGTAAGACTAAAACCCATGGAACACACTTAGAAAAACACAGTGACTACTTCATACTGGTTTAGACGCAATACTAAAAGAAACAAAATCCATATAAATCCACTGATAGAAGCCCTTTGTTTACTCCTTTAAAAATCAGGTCAATAAAGGGTCTTATTAATATAGTATAAAGCACTTACAAGCAATAATACAGGGGTGAGACTCTGTCTCCAAAAAAAAAAAAAAAAGATGAGGAAGATACACATCTATTTATATCCTACTCTCCTATGAAGAGTCTCCATCATATAAACATTAATGACCACAGAATCTTCATATACATGATACCGTAACAACTTCTAGTCAGATTAATTTTTATTCTATTTCTGAATTTTACTAAAAAAAAAAAAAACACAAGAAATATTATATAGGTATTATGAGAGTCACATATCCACAGTCAGAAGAGTCCTTACTATGAAGAAATAACATAAACATTATTAATGGTAATTACTAAGGTCTGCAAATTTTAAGGGCTTTAAGTTAACTCAGAATATCTACTCTCTAATCTACACATTACAGATGCAATACGCTGATGTAAAAGGTTAGAAGAACTACCTGGGGTGATAATACAATAAGTCATCAGAAATAACAATAATAATAAACATTCATATAATGCTTACTATGTGTTATGGGTTGAACTGTGTCTCCCTAAAATTCATATGTTGAAGTCCTAATTCCCAGTACCTCAAAATGTGAGCTTATTTAAACATAGGACTGTTGCCACTAATTCAATATGACTAGTGTCCTTATATTATAAAAAGAGGAAACTTGGACAATACCCACACATGGAGAATGCTATGTGAAGACAAGGGCAGAGACGGGGGTAAAGTTTCCATAAGCCAAAGAACTCCCAAGACTGCCAGCAAACCAAAGCTAGGCAAGAGGCATGGAACAGCTTCTCCCTTATGGACCACACAAGGAAGCAAACTTACTGACATCTTGATTTTGGACTTCTAGCCTCCAGAATTGTAAGACAACACATTTCTGTTATTTAAGCCACCCAGTTTGTGGTACTTTGTTATAGCAGCTCGAGCACTACAGACCCTATGTCTCCAGACACTGTTATAAGAACCTGTATATTACTCATTTAATACAACAACTCATTTAATACATTTATCTGCTCCACTTTACAGATGATCAAACTGAGGCACACAGCAGTTAATTAACTTGCCCAAGTTCATAATTACTAAGGCAGGATTTGGAAAGTGACGCAAATGGTGTTTGTCTTAGTTCAGGCTGCTATAACAAGGTACCATAAACTGGGTGGCTTATAAACAACTGAAACTTACTTCTCACAATTCTGGAAGCTGGAAGTTCAAGATCAGGGTGCCAACATGGTCAGCTTCTGGTAAGGTCTCTCTTCTGGGCTGTAGGCTTGTATCCTCATATGGCAGAAGAGGGCAAGAGGGCTCTCTGGGATCCCTTTTTCAAAGACACTAATAGCATTCATAAGGGCTCCACCATGATGACCTAATAACTTCTCAAAAGCCCTTCCTCCTAATATCACCACATTAGGAGGTAAGAATTTCAAAATATGAATTTGGGGGAGACATAAACATTCTGTCCATTGCAGTGTTGTTGCTAGAATGGCCCCATAGTGTAGCTGTGTGTTTCAACTGTCTGGGGCATTCAGATCAAAGTTTGATTCTCTAGACCTGTAAAACTTTGTTCTCTTTATACATTCTAAAATCTTATAATAAATCCTTTCTACTTAAATTGGGTATAGTAGATTCAGTTGATCTCAACTAGGAACCCTAACTTCAGTAAGGAACTGGAGTTCTGGAGAAAGATGAAGTACTTAAAGAAACTGACAGTGGTTGCAGCCCCAGAAAAATATCCGAGTAATCTCTGACTACTATTCGATAATATGGGTTTCGAGGTTTGCACGACAGCAGTGAAGGGCCAATCTGACAAACCTGGCCACAAAAATCAATTCCTCTGGTCTTGTTCATCTATATGATCATAAACACTTTACTGACCTCTCTCCAAAAGTAAGGCTATATAGATAGACCACACTGGAGTCCAGCTGAAGAGTGGAGGTCATGAGGTAAGGAAAATAATGGAGGGTTCCAAACTACCACGGACTTCAAGAGAGGTGACCAGAGATCAGCAACTGAGATTTGGCTTTTCCTATACATCAAAATTGACATGGCCCAAACTTGATAATTTCTTCTCTTATTCACTTTTCTTCACTAAACTCCCTTCATGTTAACTCCCTGTGAAAACACTGCACACACAAATTATTTCACAACTTGAGAATTAAATACATTTTAGGACAAAAATATATACTCTTCTGTTATGGACTGAATTGTATTATGCAAAAAAAGATGTACTGAAGTCTTAACCCTCAGTACCTGTAAATGTGACTTTACTTGGAAGCAGGGTTTTCCCAGGTGTAATACAGTTGACACTGGATTTTTCTCGGTGACTTTTGCCAGCTGGACCTCCTCCAGCTGGTGACGCCTCCACCGAAGCCTCGCTCAGCCCCAGGCCTGCCACTGGAGACATCCTACCCACTCAGCCCACTGGGCTGTGCCTTGCTCGTGCACCAGCTCAGCCTGTGGCTGGGCTGGGATTGCCCCAGCCCACCCATGTTACAGCTCATACACACATTCAGCAGTTCCCAAGTTCTTGTCCTGCATCCAAGAAGAATGACATTACACTGACCATCAAGGGTTGAGAAGGGCAGAGAAGAGTGTTATTAAGCAACAGGACAGCTCTCAGCAGAGAGGGGATATGAGGGTGGTCCCCCACTCAAAGGCGGGTATCTCTCCTTCAGTGTGGCTGGGTCCGAAGCTTTTATGGGCTCAGAATGGGAAGTGCGTGCTGACTGGTTTGTGAGTATGCAAAAAAGACTACAACCAAGGCACCACTCAAAGGTGGGCTCGACAGTATAAAAAACCAATTAGGAAAGGGTAGGTATATGTAAAACAGGTGAAAGGTGGGGATCAATAAGAGGAAAGTACGCCAAACAGGAAGAGAGGTTCTCAATATGGTATGCGGATTTATATAAGACTTGTAGGTTGGCCTTCACACTTTAAATTGTCTTTCATTTGAAGGTGGGGTTTCATCAGGGACCTGCCCCTGTCTGCTTAGGATTTGTCTGCCTCCTGCTACTATCCTAGTTAAAATAAAGTTAAACTGGATTAGGGTGGCCCCTAATCCAATGACTGGTGCCCCTAAAAGACACCTTTTAAGGAACATTTGGACCCAGCTACAGAGAGGAGAATGCCATGTAAAGCCACAGAGACCTAGGAGAAAGCCATGTGAAGATAGAGGCAGAGACTGGAATGACACATTTATAAGTCAAGCAACAACAAGAATGACCACAATCACCAAAAGCTACAGGAGGCAAAGAAGGATTCCTCCCCTAGAGCCTTCAGAGAGAGTATGGCTCTGTTAACACCTTTACTTCAAACTTCTAGCCTCCAGAACTATGTAAGAATAATTCTGTTGTTTTAAGGCACTCAGTTTGAGTAATGTGCTGCAGTAGCCCTAGGAAACTAAAACATCTTCTCTCTGTTATATTCATTTTTTTTCTATCTTCAATCAACCCCCAATTTAGGCCTGAAGCTATAGACCAAAAGAGTTAACTGAGAATTGAAGTCAGTGAAGGTTCCACATGCAGAGCAGCTGCAGGATGAGCTGTTTAATCTTCTACACAACACTCACTGGCGTATTACTAGCAAGTTCTCATATTTTCTTAGCTCAAGAGCTCTTGAGCTACTAAACACAATTTGCATAATGAATGAATATGCTTATAAAGAGAAGTTAGGAAGGTAGAACAAAAACTATATTGGCTTGAAGCACAGGCATCAGATATTTTGCTAAATAAAATGGAGGTCACCATGTCAATTCCACCATGAACATTTCTTGTCTGCTGTTTAAAAAAAGCCAAGAATGAGTGTGTGACAAACCTATTGTACAATGAAAGATACTAAGTAACAGAATATTACTAAGAGTACCACTTAAAATTTTATCTAAAATATTTTAGCTGTCCCTTACTATAGGGAATCTTTAGGGAACAACCATATTTTACTTAATCCTTCAAAGGAACTAAATAAAATATCATCTTGGAAGAGTAGCATATTATGGATCTGACAGCTCAGAGGGAGTAGAATGTTACCATATGTCTTTTTAATTTTAGTCATTCTTGGGGGTGTAAAGTGGTATATCATTGTGGTTTGATTTGCATTTTCCTAATGACTAATGATACTGACCACCTTTTCATGTGCTCATTGGCCATTTGCACATCTTCTCTGGAGAAACGCCTATATTCAAGTCTTTGCCCAGTTTTTTTTTTTTTTAAGAGATGGGGTCTTGCTATGTTGCCAAGGCTGATCTCCAACTCCTGGAGCTCAAGCAGTCCTACTGTTTCAACCTCCAGAGTAGCAGGGACTACAGGACTGTGTCTGGCTTTTGCTCATTTTTTAGTTGGTGATATGGTTTGGCTGTGTCCCTACCCAAATCTTATCTTGAACTGTAGCTCCCAAAATTCCCACATGTTGTGAGAGGGACCTGGTGGGAGGTAATCCAATTATGGGGACGGGTCTTTCCTGTGACAATGAATAAGTCTCATGAGATCTGATGGTTTTATGAAGGAGAGTTTCCCTGCACAAGTTCTCTTCTCTCATCTGCTGCCATGTGAGACGTGCCTTTCACCTTCCACCATGATAATGAGGCCTCCCTAGCCACATGGAACTGTCAGTCCATTAAACCTCTTTCTTTTGTAAATTGCTCACTCTTGGGTATGTCTTTATCAGTAGCATGAAAACGGACTAATACAGTTGGGTTGTCTTTTTTGAGTTGTAAGGGTCCTTTATATATTTTGTATGCAAGCACCCTGTGTCAGATACATGATTTAAAAACATCTTTTCTGATTCTGTGGATTGTCTTTTCACTTTCTTGATAATGTCCTTTAATGTGCAAAAGTTTTAAATTTTGATGAAGTGTAATTTATCTCATTTCCTTTTGTCACTTGTGCTTTTGGTGTTTTATCTCAGAAACCAAGGTCACAATAATTTACTCATGTTTTCTTCTAACAGATTGTATGGTTTTAGATCTTTAGGTATATGATACATTTTTAGTTCCTTTTTTGCATGGTATGAGGAAGTGATATATATTCATTCTTTTGCATGTAGACACTGGTTGTCCCAGGACAATTTTTTGAAAAGACTATTCATTACCAATTACATTGTCTTCACATTCTTGTTAAAAATTAATTAACTATAAATGTCAGAGTTTATTTCTGGACTCTCAATTCTATTTCACTGATCTACATATCTATCTTTATGCCATTACCAGACTGTATGAATTATTGTAGCTCTGTACTAAGTTTTAAAATCAGTATGTGTAAGTCCTCCAGCTGTGTTCTTTCTCAAGTTGATTTTGGCTATTCTTTTTAGAATTTGTTTTAGCTATTCTGGGTTGCTTGCATTCCAGTATGAATTTTAGGATCATTTTACAATATCTGCAGCAAACACCAATTCGGATTCTGATAAGGACTGCACTGAATCTATAAAACAATTTGGGAAGTGCTGCCATCTGTGCTAGGCATATTAATGTACTCTAAGGATATCCAACAACCTAATCCTCAGAATTTGTGAAATGCTACCTTACATGCTAAAAGGAACAATGCAGATATGCCATGGGTCTTGAGATGGGGAGGTTATCCTGGATAGGCCCTAATAAAATCACAAGTGATTTTATAAAATAGAGGCAGTGGGAGATTTGATTACAGAAGAAGGCACTGTGAGAATGGAAGCAGGAGGAGAAAAGGTGATACGATGCAGGGCCATTAACCAAGGGAAGTGGACAACCTCCAAAAACCAAAAAAACAAACAAACAAAAAAAACAAAACCAAAAACAAACAAACAGAAAACTAACTTACAGTGTTCCGAAGGAACCAGCTCTGCTGACATTTTGATTTTAGTCCCTTAAAACTCATTTCACACTTCTAATCTCCAGATTTGTAAAAAAATAAATCTGTATTGTTTTAAGCCATCAAATTTGTGGTAATTTGTTACAGCATCCCTAATGAACTAATACACCCAATACATCCTAAGTGTGTTTGCACATAACAACAGAGTTTGATATAAATGTAGCAAAAATAAAAAAGAATGAAATTTGAAAATCTACAATTATGTCAAATAGTTTTATATCCTTTTATAAATAATTGATAAAACAGGCAGACAAAAAATCAGTAAAGATATCTATAGAGGGAGATAACACAAACATGGCAAAGGTTTTACAACTGGCAAATCTAGGTTATGGGTAAGGGGTGTTTATTTTACTATTCTTTCAACTTTTCTCTAATTTAAAACTTTTTAAAATAAAAAGATGGGGAAAATCACTGAAGTATAGAGAATATATGAAAGATAATCTATTTTTTATTTGGGGCATCATCAAACTCTATCATCTTACTATTAGATTTTATTATTTACTAGAAAAATCCTATTTGCCACATTGATTTTCTTTTTAATTTTTTTAGACAGGGTCTCGTTCTGTCACCCAGGCTGGATTGCAATGGCACAAACATAGCTCACTGTGGTCTCAACTTCCCAAGCTCAAGCCTCAGGATACTGAGGCTCAACTTCCTCTCACCTCAGCCTCCAACGTAGCTGGGACCACAGGCATGCACCACCACACCTAGCTAATTTTTTTATTTTTTGTAGAGACAATGTCTCACTTTGTTGCCTAGGCTGGTCTAGAACTCCTGAGTTCAAACAATCTGCCTGCCCTCAGCCTCCCAAAGTGCTAAGATTAAAGGTACGAACCTGCCCAATCAACAATGACTTTTAAATAAAGGTCAGACTGCAAATACAGAGCCTAAAGAACTGCTATTTTAAACAGGAAGTGTGTGTGTGTGTTTGTGTGTGTGTGCATGAACATTTTATTGTAAAAATATCATGAAAGAAGAGAGAATGATCCTTTGTACCCATTACTGAGTTTCAACAATTACCATCATTTTGCCATTCTTATTTTGACCATATCCTATCTCATGTGTTTGAATGCTTTGGCATAAGCATTAAATCTTAAGTACAAAAAGAATAATCAAAAAGAGTATGACAATAATGACCAAGTGAAAAGACCATAATGTTCTATAAAAATAACTGCTCTGTAGTAAACTAAAGTTGAAAAAGTAAACACAGAGAGGTCAGACAAAACATTGCTGGGTTAAAATAAAATTCAAACTGATAAAATATGCCAGGCTGCAAAATATTTTGGCAATTCAAGAGTAATTGATATACAAAAGAGAGGGAGTGGAAGTTAACAGGATAGTACCACCTAATCCTCTGAGGACATGAACTTAGGATACTGAAATAAGAACATGACATAAGTACAGACCACAGGAAAATACCATAATGCTTAAAAACTCAAATGCAATCGTTTCAGTGTAAGAATATCACTTAACCAAAAATTACCATTAATATCAAACTGGCCTTATAAGAAAAGCTGCCTCTACATGAAAATAAAGTCTTTTCTACTTAAAAAATTCTAACTAGGAAGAAAAATGGGGATTTCTGAAGTCATATTCTATTTATAGTACATATATTCTACCATGTACTATAAAAAGTCCAGGGATGCATCCATTTTCGCAAAAAAAATTCTACAAAAAATTTTCTATTTTTTTCTATTCATCATAGTACTGGAAGTCCTAGCCAGAACAATTAGGCAAGAAAAGAAATAAAAGGCATCCAAATTGGAAAGGAAGAAGTAAAATTATCTCTGTTCACAGATGACATAATCTTAGATATAGCAAACCTTATAGATTCCACACCAAAAAAAAACTGTAAAAATAAACGAATTTAGCGAAGTTGTAGGATACAAAATCAACACACAACAATCAGTTGCATTTCAGTACACTAACAGTGAACAATCCAAAGAGGAAATTAAGAAAATAATCCCATTTACAATTTTAGCATCAAAAAGAGTAAGACACTTAAGAATAAACTTAGAGAAAATAAAGAGGCAAAAGACATGTATTCTGAACACTACAAAGTATGGCTGAAAGAAATTAAAGACAACACAAATAAATGGAAGATATCCCATGATTTTGAATTGAAAGGCTTAATATTGTTAAGATGTCAATACTACCCAAATTGATCTACAGATTTAATGCAATCCCTATTGAAATCCCAACAGCATTTTGTGTGTGCATGCAGAAACAGAAAAACGCATCCTAAAATTCATATGGAATCTCAAGGGACCCCAAACAGCCAAAACAAAAGATGCAAGTTTCACACCTGCTGGCTTCAAAACATATTACAAAGCTACAATAATAAAAATTGTCTGGTACTGGCATAAAGACAGACATACAGATCAGTGGAATAGAGAGCCCAGATATAAACCTTTACGTGTAAGGTCAAATGATTTTTGACAATGGTGCCAACACAATTCAACAGGAAAAGGACAGTGTTTTCAACAAATGGTGGTGGGAAAACTGGATATCCATATGCCAAACAATAAAATGGTACCATTACCTTAGCTATACGCAAAATTTAACTCAAAATGGATCAAAGACCTAAACATAAGAGCTAAAGCTATAAAACTCTTAGAAGAAGCATAAAGGAAAAATTTCATGGCATTGAATCTGGCAATTTCTCACATATTGACACCAAATCACAGGCAAAAAAAGTTAAAAATAAACTGAACTACATCAAAACGTAAAATTTCCATGTAAATACCACAATTCACAGAGTGAAAAGGCAACCTACAGAATGGGAGAAAATATTTGCAAATAATATTTCTAATAAAGGGTTAGAATATATAAAGAAATCCTACAATTAAGAAACAAAAAAGCAAATAACCTGATTTTTAAATGGGCAAAGAATATAAATAGACATTTCTCTAAAGATGAGAGACAGGTGGCCAACAAGCACATGAAAAGATGTTCAACATCAGTAATCATTGGACAAATGCAAATCAAAATCACAATGAGATATCACCTCACACCAGTTAGAATGGCCACTATTAAAAAAATACACAAAACAGAAAATAACAACTGTTGGCAAGGATGTAGAAAAATTGGAACCTTTGTGCATTGTGTCTAGAAATGCAAAATGGTGCAGCTGTTACGGAAAACCATATAGACCTTCCTGGAAAAAACTTAAAATTAGAATCACCATATGATACAATAATCCCATTTTGGGGCATACACCCAAAAAAATGGAAAACAAGATCTTAAAGGAATATCTGCATATCCATGTTCACTGCAGCTATTATTCAAAATAGCCAAGAGGTAAAAAGCAACCCAAAAGTCCACTGGCAGAGATAAATGCATAAAGAAAATGTGGTATATACACTGGGTACAGTGTGTACACTGCTTGGACGATGAGTGCACCAAAATCTCAGAAATCACCACTGAAGAACTTATTTGTGTAAGCAAACATCACCTGCTCCCAAAAACCTATTGAAATAAAAAATAAATTAAGAGATAAAATTTTAAAAAAAGATAAAAAGAAAAAGAAAATGTGGCATTATAAACCCAATAGGATATTAGCCTTAAAAATGAACAAAATTGGCTGGGTGCGGTGGCTCACGCCTGTAATCCCAGCACTTTGGGAGGCCAAGGTGGGCGGATCACTAGGTCAGGAGATCAAGACCATCCTGGCTAACACAGTGAAACCCTGTCTCTACTAAAAATACAAAAAATTAGTTGGATGTGGTGGCAAATGCCTGTAGTCCCAGCTACTTGGTAGGCTGAGGGAGGAGAATCGCTTGAACCTGGGAGGCGGAGATTGCAGTGAGCTGAGATCATGCCACTGCACTCCAACCTGGACAACAGAGCGAGACTCCGTCTTAAAAAAAAAAAAAAAGAACAAAATCCTGTCACATATTGCAACACAGATTATGAGGACATTATGCAAAATGAAATAAGTCAGTCACAAATAGACAAACACTGTCTGATTCTACTTTTATGGGTTATCTAAAGTAGTCAAACTCATAGAAACAGAACGTAGAATGGTGGTTGCCAGCAGGTGGGGGAGAGGAAAATTAAGAGCTGTTAAATAGGTATAGAATTTCCATTTTACAAGGGGAAAAAATTCTGGGAATCTGTTCTACAACAATATAAACATAGTACTAAACTGTGCAGTTAAAAATGACTAAGATGGGAAATTACATGGTATTTGTTTTTTCCACAATTAAAAAAGAAAAACAGAAGATAACAATTGTTGAGGAGTATATAGAAAAACTGAAATCTGGCCAGGCGCGGTGGCTCACACCTGTAATCCCAGCACTTTGGGAGGCCAAGGTAGGTGGATCACTTGAGGTCAGGAATTTGAGACCAGCCTGACCAACATGGTGAAACCTCGTTTCTACTAAAAATACAAAAATTAGCTGGGTGTGGTGGCAGGCACCTGCAATCCTAGCTATTTGGGAGGCTGAGGCACGAGAATTGCTTGAACCCAGGAGGCAAGGGTTGCAGTGAGCCAAGATCGTGCCACTGTACTCCAGCCTGGGCGACAGACACTTTGTCCCAGAAAAAAAAAGAAAAAAGAAAAACTGAAATCCTCATATATCACTGGCAGACATGTAAAATGATGCAGTTTCTGTGGAAAATGGTATGGTTGTTTCTCAAAAGACTAAACATAGAATTACCATATGGTCCACCAATTCTACTTCTATATATACCAAAAGATATTTAACAGGGATTTGAATAGGTATTTGTAAGCCCATATTCATAGCAGCAATATTCACAATAGCCATGAGGTGGAAGCAATTCAAATGTACATTGATGAATGAAGGATAAAGAAAATGTGGTATACATACACAATGGAATACTATTCTGCCATAAAAAAGAATGAAATCACATCATTCGTGGCAACATGGATGAACTTGGAGGATATGATATTAAGTGAAATATGCACAGAAAGAGAAATACCACATGTTCTCACTCATATGTGGGAGCTAATTAAGTGGATCTCATAGAGGTAGAGAATAGACTGGTGATAACCAGACAGAAGTTGGGAAGGATGGGGAGAGGGAAGGATGAAGACAGGTTGGTTATTCACAGTAGCCAAGACACTGAAGCAACTTAAATGTCCATGGACAGATGAATAAGCAAAATGTGGTATATACATACAGCGAATTATTCAGCCTTTAAAAGGAAGGAAAATTTGACGCATGCTATACAACATAGATGAAACTTGAAGACATTATGCTAAATGAAATAAGCTAGTCAACAAACAAACAAATATATAATCCCTCTGATGTGAGGTACCTGGAGTAGTTAAAATCATAGACACAATAAGAATGGTGGTTGCCAGGGGCTGAGGGTGGGGGAGAATGGGCAGTTAGTATTTAATGACTACAGAGTTTCAGGTTGGTACAGATAAAAAAGTTCTGGAGACAGGTGGTGGTGATGGTTGCACAACTATGTGAATGTACTGAATGCCATAAAACTACATACTTAAAATTGGTTAAAATAGCAAATTTTGTTATGCATATTTTATGACAAAAAAGTTCTATTTTATGTGTAGCATTCATTTTAAACTTTCATTGTAAATAAAAATTCATGAAATGTTAATTTTTGCTTTCAACTGATGGAAAGAAAACTAAAATTGAATTAAAAGGGGAATAAAGGAATATAATAAAAATTCTAAAGCAATAGAGAATTAAAGCAGAGTTGGATCATGAGTGCTCAGCAAATGTCATCAAGACGCAGTGTGCCTTGTTTAAATAAAAAGTGTAGTATTTAATAATAATTGCAAATAGTATGATGTATTTATAAAGCAAATATAACCCTGATTCGTCTTTTCAAAGAAGTCAATGTCCATTTACATTAATACTTGAATTAAGTAAGACATTTCAATGACACTATTTGTGGTCAAACAGCATGTATTGACCAAGTCAAAAATCAGAGATCTAATTTCAACTTCACCATTTACCGGCCATGCAAACCTAGACAAGGAATTTAATGAGCCTCAGTTTATTCATTCATTAAATTGGGATCTCCTCTCTGAATTAGTATGAGTTTCAAATGAGATATTTACCAAATCATTTAAAAACCATGAATTTTTACAACAGTGTAAGGCATTATAACACATTGTCACATGATTTCTTTCTGACTACGTCACCAAGTGCCCTTTCCTCTGCCTACTCTACTCCAAAAATGGTGAATAGCTAGCCCCAGTGCATTCTGCTTGGTATTAATCTATTATGTTAGTAGATAGCATAGCCCTTTGGCATCATTTTAAAACAACAAGCCAAAACCTGAGGTTTAGGCATCTTAGGTTAAGAACCATAGTAACTTCTTTCTTGTTTCTGCTAAAAATATAGAATACTGGTGCCTGGAAGAAAGTGAATATGTCTTGCCTTTTACTGGACGACTATTATCGAATAGCCACTGTGTGACAGGTGCTCTTTCAGATACTTAAAGTCCTTCCACTGGACAACTATTATTGAATAGCTACTCTGTGACAGTTGCTCTCTTAGATACTTCAGAAAGGAAGTATATGATTTTAATATACATTTCACATGTCTATTTTTAATTTATATATATTTAGATGCACATATTAATGTACATCTTAATATGCATTTTTAAACCATAATCAAATCAGACATTCCTCATAGAAACTGAAATTCTTGCTTTCCTACAACAGTATATACTAAGCATTTTTTCATTACAGTACCTGCAAATTTCTAAACCAATATCCACTTTCCCCTTGATCATAACTAACCAAACTATAATTTTGTTCATGGTAATAAGGTGCCCAGCTAAATAAATCTCCTTTTCTAGCAAAATATGTCCATGAGAAACAGTTAACATGCAAGAAATGGCCAATTAGATATATGTTCCAATCTGTCAAAGACTTATGGGAAAGTTTTACTTTCTCAGGTAGTCAATACCTCTTCCTTCTTTTCCTACCTGGAAACTAGATTCAACGCCTGAAGATAAAGCAATCTTACTGAGGCCCTATGGATGAAAATAAGCATAGTGGACCAGAAAAAGAGAAGAAACTTAGTTTCTATCATCCCAAAATATGACTCTTTGACATAAATATTTTTGAGCTAAAGGCAATTAAGAAGCAGCAAATGGACTAAGGGCTCTTTCTATCCTCCACTCTTTTCTACCAAGACAGGATATAAATTCTCCTTTACTGGAGACAAGTCTTACCAGCTCAGAGGCAGCACCAGAGAAATCTGCAAACAAATCTTATTCCATTAGTTTATTCCCATAAATTTACCTTCCCACAGTTTCCCACCTCTGGAAGCCTAAAACTGCTTTTCTTTGTCTTGTCACTTCTCTAAAATGTATTGTTCTTTGTCAAAACGTTATATAAGCCAGAGTTTTAAGCCACTGCTTTATCTTTCGTTGAGGTTTCTCCTGAGTGATGTGCACTGCACACATTAGCAAACTTGCTTGTTTTTCTCTTCTTACTCTGTCTTTTGTTATAGGACTCTCTCCCAACTACAAACTTAGGAGGACTGAGAAGTTATATTTCCTGCCCTACAATACCCCTGGACTATCACATGAGAAAGATGCATCTGTTACTGTTAAGCTACTGTATGGGAGACTTTATACTGTTTACAACCAAACAATGGTACTTACAAAGAAGTAATTATAAACTAGAGGCGATTTAAGTGCTTGAAAAGACCATGAGAAGGAATATAATTTAGATCAGAGAGAAACAGGCTTTATGAAGAAAATAAATTCATACCTTCTTGTTCTAACAGAAACTTGGCTCTCCTTCTACAGTCTTTCAAGTAGGCATTGTTTTCTCCTTTATCCCTTCTACCACATGGTCTGGAGGTTAGGTTGTTGTCCACTTTGCTTCCTACTGACACTTTCAGGCTCTTCTCCCTCCACCCTCTTCAAAACTCCAGCTTTGAATCTCATATCATCAAACTATGCCATTCATCACCACTTCCTGACCTCTTCTCTTCTAATGATCCTGTGTTCAACCCAATTTCTGCTACCCAATCCCACGATCATTACCGTAAGGCCAACCTCTCCACTATGTACACTAGGTTCTATGCCCTCCTGCCTCATCAAGGACATTCTTCCAGGAATGCTCCCTTCACTCTCTTACATCATCAATTTTTCCCTTCTCTACGGAATCATTCCCATCAGATATAACTATGATGCAATTCCTACAGCTTATAAAAGAAAAAAAAAATCTTTGAAATTTACATCCTTTTCCAGTTACTACTAGTTTCTCTGCTGCACTTTACAGGAAAATTCCTCAGGTAAGTTGTCAGTATTCTATTTGGATTTGCTCTCCCCGTTTTCTCGAGCCCATTATAAATAGGCTTTTGTTCCTACCACCACCAAACCTGCTCTTTTCTAAATACATTACTTTTCTGCTGCTACTTTAATGTATCTTTTACTTAGAAAATTACATTTATAACTTTATATGTAGTATATAGGAAAATAATTTATATAAATTGATCTTATTTCCATAAATTTGGCTAAATTTTATTAATTATATTTCTTAAATATATTTAACATAACCATATTAACTACATATGTAACAATTATGTAAAATATAATTAATAGATTATAATCTAATGTAATAGATCCTTTTGAGTTTTCTAAGTAGACTATCATGTCATCTGCAAATAAAGACAATTTTGTACTTTTGCAGGGTCTGAGAGACTGGGCAAAAGGAAGTAGAAGTTTTGTGCCAAAATGACATTTCAAAAATGGGATACATTAGAAAACAGGAGGTGCTGAAGGAGAAGGAGAGAAGGACTCTAAGTTTGGTAAGGTGAACTTGCAAAGGGGAGAGGCAGGCCTATGATTCTGCTGAGAAGGAGCTGAGCCTCTTGGATCATTGTAATCGACACACTGTCTACCCTGAATTTATATCCTCAGCCCCAACATCCTCCATGAATTTCTTGACTAATATATCACTGGGTAGTGGAAAGGTAGGCCGAATTTAATACTTCCAAAATGAACTGTTATTTCTCCCATAAAATGGCTCCTCACTCAGTATTCTCCACATCAGTAAAGGGTACTGTGTAAGAATCTACTTGTCTAACTGTCCCTAAAACATTCTTTTAATCTTCTTGAGAGCAGAAATTTGGTTGTTGTATCACTAGTGCTTAGAGTAATATCTAGGACATAGGAGAACTTCAGTATGTATTTGTTTGAATGAATTAATTACCATAAGTTTATTCTGGTCTTAATTCTCAACACCTCAGCAGAAATCAGTAAAATAACTACAACTTTCAGCAGCTATAGGATAGTTTAGTTTTGGTTGTTTTTCTTGGTTAAAAAAAAAAAGCTGAGAGGGATGTTGTAATATAATGAAAAATAAATATTTCATCTTTGTCCCAAATATTGTATCAGGTTCCTGGCACAGCCCCTAAAATCCTTGGAATCTCTGGACTAATAAGACGGTCTTTTGCATGCTAATAGAATGATGGTGGCCACTAGACAGCTTCAGGATGAAGGCTGGTCACCAGAAAGATCAATGCATGATTAGAGGATTGGAATTTTCAATCCCACCCCACACCAACTTCTGGGGAGGGAAAAGAGGCTGAAAACTGAGTCAATCACCAATGGCTAATGATTTAATCAATCATCGTTATGTAATGGAACCTCCATAAAAACCCCTAACCACAGGGTTCAGAGAAATTCTGAGTTGATGAATACATCAAGGTGCTGAGAGGTCAACCCATGGGAGAGGGAAGTGAAGTTTTGTGCCCCTTCCCCCATACTATGCTCTATATATCTTTTCTATTTGGCTGTTCCTGAGTTGTATCCTTTATTTTAAAACAACAACAACAAACAGTAATAATAAGTTAAGCACTTTTCTGAGCTCTGTGAGTTGTTCTAAAGAATTATCAATCCCAGGCCGGGCGTGGTGGCTCATGGCTGTAATCCCAGCACTTTGGGAGGCTGAGGTGGGTGGATCATGAGGTCAGGAGATCGAGACCATCCTGTCTAACACAGTGAAACCCCGTCTCTACTAAAAATACAAAAAAAATTAGCCGGGCATGGTGGCGGGAGCCTGTAATCCCAGCTACTCAGGAGGCTGAGGCAGGAGAATGGCTTGAACCCAGGGGGGCAAAGGTTGCAGTGAGCCGAGATCGCGCCACTGCACTCCAACCTGGGCAACAGAGTGAGACTCCGTCTCAAAAAAAAAAAAAAAAAAAAAAAGAATTACCAATCCTGAGGAGGGAGTTGTGGGAAACCCCTTAATCTACAGCAGGTAGATGAGAAATACTACTGATAACCTGGGACTTATAACTGCCATCTGCAGTGGGAACAATCTTAGGGGATTGAGTCCTTAACTTGTCTCCATTCTTTGTTTTTGTCGTTTATGCCTTTTTAGCCCTTCACTGTCATTTTAGTGAACATAAAGGAGAGAGCAGAAATAAAGGTGTGCATTCAATCCAATGTTTGACCTGTAATCCAGAGCTTACATTTTAGTCAAACTAGAAGATTATTCCCCTGACTCCAAGTGTATGCACCTTCCCAATCTCCAAATAGCCCAATAAAATCTTATCTTTCAAAACTCAGTTCAAGTGCCAGCTCCACATAACATATTTTCTAACCTTCCAAATTGTAAATAACTTATCCATCTTCTGAATTTTCACAGCACATTACTTGTATCTCTTCTGGCATTTACTTAGACCATATGTGCTAAATTTTAATGACTAATGCTCAAAAATCTCCTCCACTGCTCAAAGTTATTCACTTCACTAAAAGAGTTTAAATTCTATCAATCAGGGATTTATTTAATAAGTCACATTTTAAAATAGAAATATTCTTCAAAATAATAAACCTATTGGTATGCATTAGTTTAGCAATGCTCTTTTCCTTCTAGCCCAAACTATGATCCATGAACTCAGCAAATATGTTATCTAAAAGGTAAGGAAAGAAATCTTACACAATTTCAAGAACCAAGCATCTGGTGATGTGGTTTGGCTCTGTGGCCCCACCCAAATCTCATATTGAATTGTCATCTTCAATGTTGGAGGAGGGGCCTGGTGGGAGGTGGCTGGATCATGTTGGCAGACATCCCCCCCTGTTCTTGTGATAGTCAGTGAGTTCTCAAGAGATTTGGCTGTTTAAAAGTGTGCAGCACTTTCCCCTTGGGCTTGCTCTCTTCCTTTTGCCAGCCATGTAAGACATGCTTGCTTCCCCTTTGCCTTCCACCATGATTATAAGTCTCCTGAGGCTTCCCTAGAAGCAGAAGAATGTACAGCCTGCAGAACCAGGAGCTAATTAAATCTCCTTATCAATTACCCATTCTCAGGGAGTTCTTTATATTAATAGTAATGTGAGAACAGACTAATACATCTGGCCTTGACAAAAGAGAAAGCTTGATATGGCTGTATGTGTCAGGAGTAACCCACAGGTTTTTTGTTGTTTTTTTTTTTAAATACTTATGCACTAAAGGTAAACATCAGCCCAACAGTATGTCAACCATGTTCCCTCCCTACTTTCACATATATGCCTCTGGCTACATGTTACCTTCTGGAAATACAGTCTCATCTGAGGTTTAAATCAATTTCACCTAAAAAAAAAAAAAAAAGTCTATACGAGAAACTTGTAGCATGTAATCTGTCACCAAGAGAGATAATTTAGGGTTGCAGACTCTTTGGGTAGATGGCAGACCCAATAATACGCTATAATAGATGTGTTTCAGAGAATACAAATACAAGATTTTAAAAGCTGGAAAAAGAAACACCAGAAAGAAAGAACAAAATTTAGAGATACAGTCTGGAATCTACTGTAATAAAATAGCTGACCTAGCAGTATAACTCTCCAGTTCCTTAATTTATACATCCTAATCTCTTTCCAAGCTTGAGAGGAGTCTATAATAATGTTTAAAAGATGCAACATCAAGGGTTTTCCCTTGCTGCAGGTCCATGAAAATAGGATGTTATATCTCTCAAATTGTATTACCTTTAAACTAAAATAAAATTACTTCAGAAAAGACAATTCACAGAAAAAGAGAAAATATTTGCAGAACCCAAATGTCTGTCAGCTGATGAAAAGAAAAACAAAAGGTGGTATATCCATACATGGTATATTATCTGGCAATTACAAAGAATGAAGTAGTGACACATGCTACAATGTGAAAGAACCCTGAAAATATATACTAAGTGAAAGAGCCCGGCATAAAAGATCATATATTATATTATCCCATTTATATGAAATATCCACAATAGTCAAACCTGTGAAACAGAATATTTGTTCTAGAATATTAGTTGCCTAGGACTGCATGGTTTGGGGAGGAAAGGAGAGTGACTGTTAATAGGTATGAAGTGGTTTCGGGGAATAATAAAAATCTACTAAAATTAGTTTATGGCTACAATTGCACAACTCTCTGGATATACTAAAAGCCATTGAATTGCACAAGTTATAATGGGTGAATTACATGATATGTTAATTATATCTTAATAAAGCTGTCAAAAAATACCTCAGGCCAAAATAATATCTCTAATGTAATGAAGTATTATGATAGAGGAGAGACTTTAAATTATGCTGCTAATAAAAACTAAAAATGTAAATGACTTTGCTGACAGCCCAGAAATATTTTTTTTGTTAAAATCCTAGTCTTAATTTATGGTGGACTCAATCTCTTCCTCTATCAACATAGTTTAGAATTTTTCCTCATGTTTCTGTGCCATGAAGGACTTATGCCAACTGGCATACTTATGTTCCTATCCATTCCACTCACAGTCTCTCCTACAGCCAAATTGATATTATATATTTCATATATTCTCTACCGTCTTCTAGGTGAGCTATAAATGAGATCTCTAGTAAGAGACACAGAAAGCAGGGAAAGCACTGGACTGATTTGTTTGTAGGAATCTACAGATTCTGCACAAATTAAATATTTCAGATTCAGTTACCTTAACAAAAATGAATTAGACGCCTACCTCAAATAATCCTAATGGACTGACAGTTGAAAGACATAGACTTACACAGGAACAGTTCCATCAGAGTAAATATGTGTAGAAAACTGGGCACTTATCTCTCTGTTGTTTCTTAATCTTCAAAACGGGGATGATGAATTAACTGGTCTCTCTATGTCCCTCTCAGTTCTATAAGTCTCTATATTCTGTATTATCCTCTAGTCTAGCTAATACTACCACAATCTCCTATCCTCAGTAAACTGGCTGGTTGCAGGATAGAACAGCAAATTAATCATATAATTTATTTTTACAATAGAGTCTAAATTATTCAGTATTATTTTTACAGAGTTTAAACTATTCAAGTCCATCTTATCATCGCTCAGAGCAATAATTAAAAGTAAAAAGTTAGCCATGAAAAGTTGCACAGGCCAAATGGTTCAGGATTTTATAAGCTGAAAGATACCTGCAGTTTTCTTACACTGTTTTCGCCACTCCAACCCTGCTTTTCAGAATTATACCTGTTCTTTCACCCCCTACTTTATTTAATGAAACTTGTTCTAATTCTTCAAACAATATGGTTTACTTTGAAACTTCATAGCACATTGTTAATATCTTTTTGAATACTGATCATATTAAAGTTATGTTTATACTTCTCTTAGTTTTACATATCCCAAATCATCAAATACTATATCATAAACTCTAAAGAGCAAGGACTATGCCTCTCCTGTAATAAAAGAATAGCGATTTTCACATAAGAAACACATCAAAATTGAATTGAAGTTGAGTAACACAACTCTTTTGGATGACCAAAAATACAATTTAAAAAAGCATCAGTCTTAAAGAGTACTTCTTTTTGGATTGTGACACACATACCCTCATAATTTCTTATAACTGAAACTAATAAGCAGAAATGTAGGGCAAGCGTAGTGGCTCATGCCTGTAATCCTAGCACTTTGGGAGGCCAAGGCGGGGGAACTGTTTGAACCCAGGAGTTTGAGACCACCCTGGGCAACATAGCAAAACCCTGTCTCTACAAAAAATACCAGTGGTGACAGGCACTGGTAGTCCCAGCAACTTGGAAAGCTGAGATAGGAGTATCTCAGGAGCTTCCAGGAGCCCAGGAGTTCCTGAGCCCAGGAGCTCGAAGCTGCAGTGAGCCGTGATTAGGCCACTGCACTCCAGCCTGGGCAACACAGCAAGACCCTGTCTCAAAAAAAAATGTTGTAGAAATGTAGCTAATAAATATTAGTGGAGTTACAAAAACACACTCTTCCTAGGTCTTTGTTAAATTTTTACTTAAAACCATACACATTTCTAAAGGTTTAAGTAAGAGAGAATAGCATAATTCCTCAAGATACAATATCCTCAACTAAAATATTCCTGAAAAGATTCTTCAACTAAACTATCTTGCATACCACCCATAAAATACTTAAGAATATTAAACTTTTCTATATTTATGATGAGCATACACAAACTGAAAGCAATTCTTCAACACATAAGAGACTACTATTTACAAACAGGTTTACTGTTAATCCATTTTGGACTTATGTAATGAAAGATGAATTGGAAAATTGCCTTAATCTATCAGAAACTAACTAGCAAGTACTTATGCCTTCATTTATTCCACTATCTTACAAATTGTTCTATTTCATTCTTTAGTGTAAATAGAATCTTCTTGGTATCACAATATAAAATTAAATAAAAAATATTGTGATGACTAAAAGAATGGTATACGATGAAAAGCATTTAAGTAGTTGAATAGTGATACTGCCCCATCAACCATTCACTCATGCACTCATCCATTCTTTTAACAAATATTTATTGAGTAATCATGCGCTAGGCACTATGCTACAAGACACACCAACAAACAAAAGAGACACTTATACCTACGGACTTAAGTCCTAAAATTGTCAAAAATACATAAATACAGGGCCACTGTGTAGGGATACACAGACTGCCCACTGCACAACTTGACAAGTGCCACTCATAAAGACCTCATTGAGAATAGTGCCCCTTGCAAAAAAGGCACCACTCAGCAGCTCTAGGAACAATCTATGTCATTACAGAGGGAGCAGCCATATGCACATGATATGACAAACTTGACCAGTTCAAGAATAATCTGAGACAAGGTAAATCAGTGATAGTCTTCTATATTCAACCATTCCTTTAACTTATCAAAAATATCTCAAGATCCTTAATCTTCAAATCGCATATTCAAAAATAGTAAGTCCTGAGACCTTTAAGAAACACCTTATTTGCTTAAGCTAGCTAAGTTGACACATAAAACTAATTTCAACTATTTCAATTTTGAATGAATAACTGGAGTTTTAGAGAGGCTAAATAACTTGCTTAAAATTACACTGCAGACCTGGGATTATATATGGCTAATTAGGTAATACGGAACTGACAGTTTGTCATCTTAGGCACACATACTTACGGTAACCAGCCTTCAACATGATCCCCCAATGATCCCTGCGTCCTGGTAATCACATTCCTCTGTAATGTAATTCATTATTATCCCAGGGTTGGTCCACGTGAACAACAGAATACAGCAAACATAACGATACATCATATTAGAGATTTGACTTTAAAAAACATTATGGCTTCTATACTGTGTACCCACATGCTCTCACTGTCTCTCTCTCTCTCCCCACTCACACTGGGAAGTCAGCTGCCACATCATGCACAGCCCTGGAAAGAGGCCCTCATGGTGAGGAATGGAGGCCTACCAACAACCATGTGAGTCAGCTTGAAAGTACATCCTTCCACCACAGTCACACCCTGGCTGACAACTTCACTACAACCTCATGAGAGGTCCTAAGCCAGAATCACCCAGCTAAGCCACTTCTGGATTCCCATCCCTTTGCATTAGTTAACTATTGCTGCCATGACAAATTACAACAAAATTAGTGGCTCTACACAATACAATTTACTATCTCAGTTCTGTAGGTTAGAAGTCCAGTGGGCTCAAGTGGCTTTTTCTGCTCTGGGTGTTGCAAACCTGAAATCAAGGTATTGGCTGTCTGTGTTACTTAATGGAGGCTCTGGGAAAGAACTGCTTCCAGATTCAGCCAGGTTTTTGACAAGGTTCAGTTCCTTGTAGTTGCAGCACTGACTTTCTGGTTTCCTTGCTGCCTGTCAGCTGGGGGATATTCTCAGCTTCTAGAGGCCACCCACATTCCTTGGCTCATAGCTCCCTACTTCCATCTCACGCTTTGAATCTCTCTGAACACCCTTCTGCCTCACCTCTCTGACTCATCTCTTCCAACATCAGCTGGGAAAAGTTCTCCACTTTTAAGGTCTCATGTATTACTTAGCCCATATCTAGGTCCATAATTGTAACCATATTTTCAAAGTCTCTTTCACCACATAATGTAACATATTTGGGGGTTTTAGGAAATAGGACATGGACATCTTTAGGGGGCTATTATTCTTCAGAAATGATGTAATTTCATAAATGTTTGTTGTTTTAAACTTTCACTTTGTCACACGATAATATACATACGAAGAGGAAAAGTGTCCTGAAGTTATTAACCAGGATACAGTTATATATAAGGTGTTCAGTATATCACATATTTACATACAAACACACATACTTGACAAGGTATTATATTAGAGGCTATAGGCATTATAGCATTTTTCATACAGTATCTCATAATACTCTGTCAATAACCATATATTATCTATAAGATGAAACTCCAGGTCATTGGTAGTTTAGATTAAATCCCAGTTATTTCAAATTCAAGCTATATTATGACATCTGTTTCTCTTTTTCTTTTAAAATCTAAAGTTCCAGGTTACAGCATTTCATAAATCAGGCTTTTATTCGGATTATAAAGTCTTCAAAAATAACTTTCCACAAATTAATTTTATTCTTACTGACAGTCGGGCACAGTGGCTCACACCCGTAATCCCAGCACTTTGGGAGGCTGAGGTGGGTGGATCACCTGAGTTCAGGAGTTCGAGACCAGCCTGGCCAATATGGTGAAACCCCATCTCTACTAAAAATACAAAAATTAGTTGGGCGTGGTGGCACACGCTTGTAATCCCAGCTACATGGGAGGCTGAGGCAGGAGAATCACTTGAACTCGGGAGGTGGAGGTTGCAGTGAGCCAAGATCATGCCACTGTACTCCAGCCTGGACGACAGAGTAAGACTCTGTCTCAAAAATAATAATAATATTCTTACTGACACCCTCCTCCCCCAAAACATGGAATGTTATATTGCTGAACAGCTGAAATTACTTCTTCATTGAAAGAGGCATATGAAAAATGAGTTCACACTAATGTTCACCTTGATCTCAATACTTGTGTGATTACCATATTCCTGAAGCTGTCTTGCGGAGGTCACCAACCATGTTTTTTCTTTCTTTCTTTTTTTTGGCTAAATCCTAAGGCTACTCTTCAACTCTCATCTACAATGTTGATATTTCATCCTTAAAACACCATGCTTTCTTAGTTTCCATCATTTCATACCATCCCACCTCTCTAGCTAATGCCTGTTAGTCTTTTGGTCTTCTCTTCCTATGCTCACCCCTTACATGTTAGAATTCCTCAGGATATCTGTCCTATTTCCCCCCTTTTGTGGCAACTCTCAGATCTGTGTCTTCTGCCCTTTTCTTTCTCCAGGACTTCAAATCCACATATACAGTTTCCTATTAGCTCTCTACACTTGGATGTCTAATAAGCACCTCAAATTCAACATGTCCCAGAGTACAGTTGATTCTTGAATAGGTTTGAAATGTGCAGGTCCACATATACACAGATTTTTTTCCCAATAAATACATTGGAAATTTTTTTGGAGATCTGATGCAACAATTTGAAAAAACTTGCAGATGAACCACACAGCCTAGAAATATCAAAAAAATTAAGAAAAATATATGTCATGAATATATAAAATATATGTGGATACCAGTCTATTTTATTACTACCATAAAATATACACAAATATATTATAAAAATTAAAATTTATCAAAACTTATGAAAACACCTGCAGACCATACATGGCACCATTCACAGTTGAGAAAAATGTAAACAAACATAAAGATGTGGTATTAAATCATCACTGCACAAAATTAACTGTAGTACGAAAATCAAACACCACATGTTCTCACTGATAAGTGGGAGTTGAACAATAAGAACACATGGACACAGGGAGGGGAACATCACACACAGGGGCCTGTCAGAGGGTGGGGGGCAAGGCGAGGGAGAGAATTAGGACAAATACCTAATGCACACGGGACTTAAAACCTAGATGATGGGTTGATAGATGCAGCAAACCACCATGGCACATGTATACGTGCACGTTCTCCACATGTATCCAAACCTGCACATTCTGCACATGTATCCAAGAACTTAAAGTAAAAGAAAAAAGAAAAATTAACTGTAGTTCATACTGTACTACTGTAACAATTTGGTAGCCACATCCTTTTGCTATTGCTGTGATCTCAAGTGTTACAATTATCCCCTTAAATGTTAAGTGATGCTATCATCTTCACTTGAGCAGTTTGTCTCTCTCTAGTATTGTGTTATCACAATAGAAAGTGATCTCTTGCAGTTCTCACTTATTTTTCATAGTTTTTAATGCAATACCATAAACCTTGAAAAACTTCATAGGACCCATATGAAGTGCCCTTAGTGATGTTGTTGGAAGTGTTTCCAAGAAGCAGAGAAAAGACAGGACATTACAAGAAAAAGCTGAATTGCTTGATATGTGCTGAATTTTGAGACCTGCAGCTATGGTTGCCCACCATCTCAAGATAAATGAATCCGGCATAAGGACCACTGTAAAAAAAGAAAAGAAAAATTGTGAAGCCATTGCTGCAGCTACAGCAGCACTTTTTGCAAAATATCTTTTTATCTCATATTGAAAATGTAGCTTTTATGTGGGTGCATGATTGCTACAAAAAAGGCACACCTATATGATTCAAGAAATAGTGAGGTCATATGACAACTTAAAGCAAAAAGAAGGTAAAGGATCTAAAGCTGGAGAATTTAATCCCAGCAAAGGATGGTTTAATAAGTTTAGAAAGGGGTGTGGCTTTAAAAATATCAAGATAGTCCTCTCTGGGCTTGTGCCTAGTTCACAGCTACATAGCTAAAACTCACCAAGTAGGTTGAAATCACTGGTAAATATGGGATTGCTATGGTGCCTCCCTCTGGAAAACACTGAAGAAAACTGAAATCAGCCATCCTGCCAAGTACACTTGCTCCTTCTGTGGCTAAACCAAGATGAAGAAACAAGCAGTTAGGGATCTTACACTATGGTTCCTACATGAAAACAGTAGCTGATGGTGCCTGGATCTACAATGCCACTTCCACCAACATGGCAAAGATGGCCATCAGAAGACTGAAGAAATTGAAAGGCCAGTAGAAGCTCTATCATTTGAGACAACACTAGCCTAGAATAAAGGTTTAATTTATGTAACAAGAACAAAAAAATCAAGGTAACAGGAGAAGCAGCTTCTGCTGCTCAAGAGGAAGCAGATGAGTTCCCAGGTGCTATTAAGAAAATCATTGAGGAGAAAGGATATATGCCTGAACAGGTTTTTAATGTGGACAAAAGTACCCTATTCTGGAAAAACATGTCATAAAGGTCATTTATTAGTAAGGAAGAAAAGCAAGCACCAGGATTTAAGGCAGTAAGAGATGGGCTAGCTCCATTGTATTGTGCAAATGCAGTTGGGCTTATGATCAGGAGGATTGTCCTTATCTATTAAAGCTACTAACCCCAAGATTTGAAGGAAAAAGATAAACACTACTGCCAGTCTTTTGGTTGTTCAACAAGAAGGCCTGGACAACGAGAACACCTTTTCTTAATTGCGTCCACTGTTGGTTTGTCCCTGAAGTCAGTACCTTGCCTTAAAGTTATTTTGATATCAGACAATGCCCTGGCCACCCAGAACCCCATGAGGTTCAACATCCAGGGCATCAAAGTAGACTACTTGCGCCAACCACAACAACTCTAATTCAACATCTAGATCTGGTGTGATAAGGACCTTTAAGGCTCATTACATATGGTACTCTATGGAAAGGGCTGTCAATGCTATAGAAGAGAACTCCAATAGAGAGAACATAATTTAAGTCTGGAAGGATTACACCACTGAACATGCCATCGCTGTTACAGAAAAAGCCATGAAAACCATCAGGCCTGAATCAATAAATTACTGCTGGAGAAAACTGGATCCAGATGTTGTGCATGACTTCACAGGATTTACAGCAGAGCCAATCAAAGAAACCATGAAAGAGATCATAGATATGAGAAAAAGGTGGCAGTGGTGAAGGGTTTCAGGAGTGTTTCCAAACCAGTGCCAGAAGATAAGGAAGAAGATGTAGAAGAAGCAGTGCCAGAAAACAAATTGACATTAGACAATCTAGCAGAATGGTTCCAATTATTCAAGACTACTTTTGACTTCTTTTATAACATGGACCCTTCCATGTTACAGGCGCTGAAACTAAAGTAAATGGTGAAAGGATTGGTACCATACAGAAACATTTTTAGAGAAATGAAAAAGCAAAAAAGTCAGACAGAAATTGCCATGTATTTCTGTCAAGTTACACTGAGTGTGCCTGCCTTTCCTGCCTACTCTTCTACCTCCCTCCATCTCTTCTGCCTCTGCGACCCTAAGACAAAACCGACACTTCTTCTTCCTCCTACTCCTCAGCCGACTCAACATGAAGACGATGTGAATGAAAATCTTTGATGATCCACTTCCAATTAATGAACATTAAATATACTTTCTCTTTCTTATCATTTTCTTAATAACATTTTCTTTTCTCTAGCTTATTTTACTGTAAGAATGCAGTATATAATACAAATAACATACAAAATATGTGTTAATCAACTATTTATGTTATTGGTAAGGCTTCCAGTCAACAATTGGCTATTAGCAGTTAAGTTTCTGGGGAGTCAAAAGTTATACATGGATTTTTGACTGCATGGGGAGTCAGCAACCCTAGCCCCCACATTGTTCAAGGATTAATTATGTACATATGATTATCCCTCACAGAACCATTCCTCCTACGAATGGTTCAGTGAGTAGACCTACTATCCATTTAATTTTGCAAGTCAGCCCTACTTCTTTAACCACATCTCACTGCTCCTATATCTCCTTAAAACAGATCCCATTACTTTGTTCCATCCTCAATGCTACTCCCTTAATTCTTATCACCATGAACTCTTGCCTGGCATACTGGACTTCCCTGTCTCTAATTATGCTCCCAATATTCCAATCCATTTGACATTATTGTCAGAGTGATCTTTCTAAAATACAAGTCGGATTACATTACTCCCTTGGAGTCATCAATGCTCTCCTGTAAAAGTTGAAATTCCCTAATATGGCTTGGATGGCCATATAATATTTGGCCCTATCTCTCAACGCTTCCCTGTCTGATATGGTTTGGCTGCATCCCCACCCAAATCTCACCTTGAATTGTAACTCCCACAATTCCCACCTGTCATGAAAGGAACCCGGTGGGAGGTAATTGAATCGTGGCAGCGGGTCTTTCCCATGCTGTTCTCTTGATAGTGAATAAGTCTCACAAGATCTGATGGTTTTGAAAATGGGAGTTTCTGATGGTTTTAAAAACGGGAGTTTCCTTGCACAAGCACTCTCTTTGGCCCCTATCATCCATGAGAGACATGACTTTCTCTTCCTTGCCTTTCCCCATGATTGTGAGGCCTCCCCAGCCATGTGAAACTGTAAGTCCATTAAACCGTTTTTTCTTCCCAGTCTCGGGTATGTCTTTATCAACAGTGTGAAAACGGACTAATACACTGTCCTTCTTTTCTTGTATTCCCCATCTTTAATTTCTTCTAGGAAAGGCTGTCTCTTTGTATGATACACTTTCACCAATCTGAACAAGCACCCATCCCCTTGATCTGGCAAATACTTGAGTATTCTTCATATCTAGTTTATCCACTTCCTCTGGAGAGCCTTCCATGATCATTTCCCTGCAGACTAGTGTCTGTCTTATGTAATTGCATAGCACCTTATACTTAATCTTTAGTACTGCACTTACTGTATACTATCATAGTGTATTCATCTGCATCTTTTACTAAACTACAAATGCATTGTCATTGTTCCCTTAGCACCTTATACCGTTTTGGACACACAGAATGTAATGAATATTTGTTAAATGTTTAACCAAGCAATCAGACCTTCCTATGGTGATTTTCAAAATAATCTGAACAATAGTCACAGGTCTACAAAATAAAAGTGAGTAAGCATTACAACTGAAAGTACAGGAGTTAAATCTCTCATATTAATATAGTACATTCAATAGATATAAACAATAGGAATTTCAAGATTTTCCCAGTTTTTAAATGTGAGTTTTGAGAATTGCTGCATATGGTATTAATAATGAGAATCTGAGGAATATATAGATAACTAACAAGGATGAAATTGGGTAAGTAAGCAAAGCTAAGCTCATACATTAGCTAAATGACTCTCTTCCTGAACATCAGCAAAACCAAATGTATTTTATACTCTTGTCTCAGCAAATAAACAAGTTACTATAAATTAAGAATCTTCTATAACGAGGAAGAACAGTCAAAATCTAAATGCAAAATCACCTAATGTTTTCACAGAGCAATTTCCCTCAGATTACATCAGTCAAATAACACTTTTACTGGTCTCCTTTCTAAAGCTAGTAAAACAATGGTATTTTTAACTTATCTGAAATATCTTCATTACATCACATGTTCAAAAAGAGAGCACAATATGGCACAGATTTTGATTCTACTAGTATAAGAGTTCATTTGTGATTCAAAAGATTCAAATACTTAACACAGCTCTTATAATACCAATAAACTGTCTTTATTCTAGGCTAAATGTTTCCAAATCCAAGTGCAATGTCAAACATGAATTTAAAAATATTAAATTATTGTATTACTGATCCTTCAGATGATTCATACCACATCTCTTCAATTTTGAATAATTCTGAGTTATGCTTGTATATGTGAAATATCCAAATCAAAACAAATAAGAAATTTACTCAAACAGATAAAAAATTCATTAATGATACTATTTTAAGTTCATCAAAAGGGAAATATTCAACAGTAAAAGACTATTTCAAAACTAATTCAATATGACAAAAGCAAGCAATTAAAATTTAAGACACAAGCAGTTGCCTAGTGTATATAATTGAAAAATAATAAAATTATGCTTAATAAAATATCTAAACACAGAATCCAATATGATGAAACCACTTAAAAGAACAACATGAATACAATCCTTGAAATCTTAAATGATTTTAAATTTGAATTTAACTCTGAGAAAATGATATGAAATCTGAAAAGTAAAATCTACAGATGGAAGTCTAGTACTGTGTGTTTTACCTCTGGGAGTTGCAGGCTGCACCATGATTCTAT